>NC_000014.9:76126864-76278379 GCF_000001405.40 Homo sapiens
GAGTAACAAAATATTTTTTCAGGGAGGAGAATTTTATCACTGTCATGGTTTAGAATTACTAGCAAATGGTAATAATAAAAAGAAGACTGACTTTCAGTTGGTATTATAATTTTTTTAAGGTCCTTAAGGCAATGGATCCCCTTATTGCCAGTTCCTGGGGCAGACTGCACTCACTGTCCCACCCTTGGGGCACCACTGTTCCTAGTTCTTCCTCATGACCATATGAGCTTTGAAAAGAGAGAATTGGGAAGAGGTAAAATCTGAAAATGGCAGGAGTCCAAGGCAAGAACTACAGTAAGGGTTGTGGGGGCCCCTGTTCTATGCAGGGCTTTTGCAGGCATTGTTGCTTTTAATCCTCAAGGAGACCCTGCCTGCATTTTAACCAAGGAAGACAGGAAGGCTCTCCTGGGTGGGAGGCTTGCCTGAGTTTACAGAGCAATGAAGTGGTGGAGCTGGGGTGCAGACACAAGGCTTTTGGACTCCGGACTCCAAGACTAGCAAGGATGGAGGGAAGTATGTCTCAAAGCCTGGCACATGCTGTACAAGGCTGGGGTTATGATGGCCTCTTCCTAGTGCTTTTCTGAGACAGCTAAGAGGTTTATCCCACTTTTCACATTTACCACAAAATATGAAATCTGGCTCCCTCTTTTCCCCTTTAACAACGCATAGTGCAGTGATTAAATGGTGCTGAATGACCTGAGTTCAAATCCTAGGTCTGCCCGTATGGTTGTGTGACCTTGGACTAGTTTTTCAAACTTTTTTTTTGCCCCAGTTTCTTTTTCCATAAAGTGGGATTAACAAGAGTATTTATTGCATCAAAACTGATGGGGGACTCAAATGAATCAATATACATAAAGAACACAGATGCTGACATATATTTGTAATTACCTACAAATACAAATATGCACTACGATGGGCACTTAAAAACTTTAAAAATACTGTATTAGTCTGTGCTCACACTGCTAATAGAGTCATACCTGAGACTGAGTAATTTATAAAGGAAAGAGGTTTAATTGAGTCACAGTTCCACATGGCTGGGGAGGCCTCACAATCATGGTGGAAGGTGAATGAGGAGCAAAGTCGCATCCTACATGGTGGCAGGCAAGAGAGCGTGTGCAGGGGAGCTCCCCTTTATAAAACCATCAGATCTTGTGAGACTTACTCACTATCATGAGAACAGCATGGGAAAGACATGCCTCCATGAATCAATTACCTCCCACCACGTCCCTCCCACAACATGTGATCTACAATGCAAGATGAGATTTGGGTGGGGACATAGCCAAACCATATAAAATACTAACTCTTTTAATTCTTCCAATAATCCTATGAGGTGGCTACTATTATCATCCCCATTTAATAGAGGGGGACCCAGGACTCATAAAGGTTAATGACTCATGCAGTGTCACACAGTTAGAAAGTGGCAAGACCAAGATTCAAACCCAAGTACACCTGCCTCCCAGACATGTGCTAAACAATCTACACAGGGCTGTGCTCAGTAAATGTCAGCTGTTATAATTTTACCCAGTTTGCCTGAATAAACACCAGGGGTTGCTCTATCTCTCCACTTTTCTTCCACGGGAATTATACTAGGGACCCCTTTGCATAAGTAATCACAGGAGAATTAAAAACAGAAAAGTTGGCCGGGCACGGTGGCTCATGCCTGTCATCCCAGCACTTTGGGAGGCTGAGGCTGGCGGATCACAAGGTCAGGAGATCGAGACCATCCTGGCTAACACGGTGAAACCCTGTCTCTACCAAAAATACAAAAAAAAAAAAAAAAAAAAAATAGCCCGGTGTGGTGGCAGACACCTGTAGTCCTAGCTACTTGGGAGGCTGAGGCAGGAGAATGGCGTGAACCCAGGAGGTGGAGCTTGCAGTGAGCCGAGATCGTACCACTGCACTCCAGCCTGGGCAACAGAGTGAGACTCTGTCTCAAGGAAAAAAAAAGAAAAAACAGAAAAGTTAAAGTAGGCAGCATTTTCCACCCATCAAGTAAGTAAAATTTTAAAAGTATGGTATCATCAAGTATTGTCAAGAGTGTGAGGAAGTAATACTTTCATACGTTGCTGGTGGTACTGTAAACTGTAAATCCTCTCTGAAGGGATTGTTTGGAAGGACAATTAAAGTTAAAACCATGTATTCCTGTGATCCAACAATGTCACTTATGGGTGTCTGTCCTAGAGAACCACGTGCACAAGCACACAAGACAACACAGATATGTTTATTGCTATCATAGTTGCCACTGCACTGTGATAGCAATAAACCGGGAACAGCCTAAGTCCATTAATAGGGATGGCTTAGCCCCAAATAGAGCGAAAACCATGCAGTGGTAAACAGAATTCTGAGCAAAGAAAGTCAGTTGCAGGCTGGGCGTGGTGGCTCACGCCTGTAATCCCAGCACTTTGGGAGGCCAAGGAGGGCAGATCACTTGAGGTAAGGAGTTTGAGACCAGCCTGGCCAACATGGCGAAACCCTGTCTCTACTGAAAATACAAAAATTAGCCAGTCATGGTGGCGCACACCTGTAATCCCAGCTACTGGGGAAGCTGAGGCAGGAGAATTGCTTGAACCCAGGAGGCAGACGTTGCAGTGAGCTGAGATCGTGCCACTGCACTCCAGCCTGGGCAACAGAGTGAGACTCCGTCTCAAAAAGAAAAAAAAAAAAGAAAGTCAAACAACACATAGAAAGCCATTTATGTAAGAACAAAATATCACTGCAGCATAATAATATGTCTTTTTCTACAGGGTATGCACATATGTATGTAAGGACATAGAAAAATCATTGGAAGGTTACGCACCAACTTGCTCACAGTGATAACCTCTGGGAGAACAGGAAGAGACCAAGACTCAAGGTTGGTCAAACATTATCATTTATGTTTTATTTTTTAAATGATAATTTATTTTACTATTACTTTTATAATTAAATTTTAATATTAAAACGGGAAAAAATCAATCGGGGAATGTGGTTTTCTATAGTGTAGACCTCAAAATTAGACAAGCCTGATGTCTTAGCCCATTTGGGCTGCCATAACAACATGCCATGGCCTGGGTGCCTTAAACACCAGACATTTATTTCTCACAGTGCCGGAGGATAAGGCCCAGATCAAGGCATCAGCATCTGTCTGGTGAGGGCCTTCATGCTGTGCCCTCACAAGGTAGAAGGCAGGTGGGTGGGGCAAGAGAGAAACCAACTCCCTTCACCAAGCCTCTTTATAAAGGCGGCTAATCCCATTGACAAGGCAGGAGCCCTCCTGCCCTAATCACTCCCTAAAGGCCGCACTAGCTACTGCTGTCACATTGGCAACACCTGAATTTTGGAGGAGACACATTCAAACTGTAACAAAGAGAATGAACCTAACCAAGGTTCCCTCCCTTCTCTGTTTTTCTACCTGTGCCCAGGAAAACTCCTGCAGCCCCTCCCTCCAGCAGTTTCTCAAGGAGATAGGGAACCCAAAGGCAGGAATCTGGGTTCCTCTCAGCAGCTCCAAGGCAGATAAGCCTGGAGTCAGAATTGGAGTGTGTGTGGGCTGGCAGTAGAGAATGTGCTCTGTTGAGAAGGTGACAGCTTTATTCCCAGCACAGTGTGAGGCTCAGTGAAAGTGGGAAGGAGTGAAGAAGGGTCTGCAGGGAGAGACAGTGGTCATAGAATCTATATATGTTAGTGCAACAGAGGCCATGTGGCACAACAAGGAGAGCAGAGAGTATTTCCACCACAGAACTTTTCTTTCAAATGAAATCCTGCAGAGAAGCCCAGTGAATGACACAGACATAGGTGGAACCACTGAGGCTGCCCACTCCACCGCCTAGAGACCCTCATCAGTGACCCCTGAAGCATCTCTAGAGAACCCTCTGACAGTGCCACAGCTAA
Source organism: Homo sapiens (assembly GCF_000001405.40). NCBI lineage: Eukaryota > Metazoa > Chordata > Mammalia > Primates > Hominidae > Homo > Homo sapiens. The sequence goes on from NC_000014.9 coordinate 76,130,732, forward strand.
AATCCCTCCTCTCACTCAACAGTTCACTTTCCAGAAGCCTAGAAAAGAGTAGCTCTTTATCCAGGGAACTCTCCCCCTTTCCCACCCACCTTCTGGGTCCTTCATGGCCTGAGAAGTTTTGCTCGTATCTCACCCAAGTCTTCCTTTGACAAGTTTTTGACCCCCAAAAGCCTCCCTTGGACACTGGACACTTCTGGGGTGTTGGAACTGCTCTATATCTTGATCTGAGTGGTGGTTGCACAAGTTTATTCTACAATGTACAGAGCAGTGCTGGATCCAGCTCACCCTGGCTCTCATCCACTCGCATCTCTTCCAAACTCTGCATTTGGTGAGGACACGTTGCCCAGTGAACATCCCTCTGGCCCCTGCAGGGGATCCTGTGCAGGGAGCCAGCGGAGACTGAGGTTGCTCAGAGGCTAGGCTAACCAGGAGAGAGAAGACAGAAAGAAAAACCATCCGGGGATTCCAGGGAAGCCAAGGATGCCTGGGCTTTTGGGAAACAGTGACGGTCAGGCCGGAGGAAGGTGTTGGCATTGAGGAAGCCCTGGGGAATGCAGACTGTGGAAGGGAGCCTCGCTTGCCCGTCGGTGGGCTGGGCGGGAGCGCTGACCCTGGCGCCTCGGAGGAGGGAGGGGGCGGGCTGGGGAGGGGGAAGACAGCGTGACTGCGGTCTGATCTACAGTGACGAGTACCAATGTTAACTGTCACCTCTCATCTCCAAACTAAATCACACCTGGAATTGGAGGAGCCGAGGAGCTGATAGAGTCAGCCTCGCAGAGGCGACAAGTCAATCAGCGCGGAGATGCCCGCGGAGACACCGGCTCCACGGGCCGGGCGCCTCCATTCATTCTGGGATTTACACTTGTCAGGCTGCCGCCTCGGGTGGGCAAGAGGAGGGGTGGGCAGGAGGCCGGTCTCCCTTCAGCTCCACTTAAAATGGGATGACAAGCAGCTCCTCCCCAGAGGCACCACAGGCTGGGCCCATCATTCTTGATGTCCCTCCACTTCTCTCTGTCTTGTGGGTCATTCCCCCAGGTCAGTGGACTTCAGGCTCAAGGATTTGGAAGAAGCCCAGCAGTCAGCAGATGGAGACAGATTGGTGGTCTCTCGGGGCAAGGGGTATTGGCTGTTTGAGCAACCTTTGTCTGGGAGCTTGACAAGAATTCTTTCCTGGTCTCCAGGTCATCTGTTTGGGAGGGAGCAGTGGGGCCTTGTGCAAAAGGAAGGATGGAGTCAAACTACTTTGGAGCAATACTGTCGGTGGTCAGATGAAATGGAAAAGATCGTCGCTTTTTCTTTCGTTCATTTCTTTGCTCATTCAACAAATGGCATTCAGTTTGGCTGTAGCAGAGTGCTGGGGGTTTAGCAGCACTGAGCCTCCACATCCTGAAAAGGGGGAGAATTGAAGCATTTAGAACTTCTCAGGTTGCCATCTGCCACTGTCTTAGAATTACTGAATGAAACTGCAGCTCCCCCATCACTTTCCATCGCTGACCACACCATCATAATCCTCTGCACAGTCATTTATAAAGTGCTTTTTCACCTATAAACATAACTGTGCTAAGTGCTGTGCCAAGGAAAATGCCTAGAGATATACATTCCAGATGGAGGAAAGCACATTGAGGTCCCATTGCTGTTTGAACATCTATTTTACTTTTGTCACCATGAAAGTAAGAAAACTTCATTCCAGAAAATATGGAGCAATAGAAAGAGGGGAAAATCCCCTAAATACAAAGCTAGCATTTTGATGTGCTTTCTTCTAGTCTTTTCTCCTATATTTCTTTAACTTATTTTCCCAAAAGCCCCCAGCCCAGAGCATGTACTATGTCAATGAATGTGGAGTCAGGGTGGAAACCTCATTTTTCTCCTCTGACCCCATTCAGAGTGGCCCCTGAGGACATGGTTTCATTCTGCCTGGTGCCCGGACACAGCAATGGTGATACAGGCATTCGGTAGGCTGATCTCTTAATCCAGATTGGTGTAGTCCTTTGAAACTGAAAGTAGCTCCTTTTTATGTCGCCTGCTTCTCAGCATTAACTTCTCTTTGATGTAATTTTTGCTTCCGTTGCTCTCTCCCTTCATGGGTTAGATTAGTGTGAAATTGGCCTGGCTCCTCTGGAGACTGCAGTATTAAGCTTCAAATACTTGGTTCTTATTGGAAATCCTTAACCCACATCAGGGGAGAAAAGTGGCAGCATTACTTGGGAATGAGAGAGAGAGAGTGTGTGCATGCACACACGTGCGTGTGCATATGCTTACAAACGTGTGCAGGGGTGGGTGTAGACTAAGAAGGAGAGAAGCACACTGGCAAGGGGAAGGTGGGGAAGAGGAGATTGAGATTCTTCTCCATTTATTGAGTGCTGAGGATCTGCTCATCTTAATCTTAGGAGGAAGGGGTAGGAATGGGTCTTAGGGAACTTGAAAACGTGATAATAAGGGTAGAAAGCCTGTTTAATTTGCTGGCGCTCTCAGTGGAGCTGTCCAAAAGTCTTGGTGCTGAAGGGAAGAAAGAAAGGTGCCAGTGCTGGAGAAAGTAACAGGGCAGTTACGTAACCCAACCCACTTCACTGGGGTTATGTCTGCCTCTATGGGTGTGGCGCCTGGTTCAGATGTGACCTTGAATTGCACACAAGACATGGTTACCAACATTATGAGAGGACTGGCAGGAGCCACCAGTCCTGCTCTTACTTCTTGTTACTCAGGACAAGAAATTAGACTTGGCACAAAGAATGACAACTAATTAGGCCAGACTGCTGGAGGGAGGTACTCAACTGCAGGGGAGACTCACCTGGACACATGACCCAGGAGAGGGTTTCCTTCCACTTCTAAGGTATAACTGGGGGACCTCCTTCCGTGAGCGATTCTGATCAGAAGGAAGAGACTGCACCTCCTACTCCCACAGTAACACAAGCTCAGACCATCAGCCCCCAAATTTAAGTTGCCACCTGAGGACATCACTGGAGAACAGCTTCTGTTCTCCAGAACAGAGGTGGTTCTGATGGCCAACTGGCCAGAGCTGTTCATAAAGGACATAATCGCCAAACTGTATGACCACTGGAATGTTCTCAGCAAACTTCAGACTCCCCATTCAAAAACAGTTTACCTCCAGATATTTCAACCTTGTTATCAGCCAGCCTATACTTACTTTCTCCCTGCAATCCCCATCCAACTTTCTCTGCCCCACTAGCCTTGGTCTTTTCTTGTACTCTCAGCTTCTGCCTCAGTTTCTTTTCTTTCCCACAATGCCCCTTTTCCCAGCCTCAGCCATCCGTTACCCCCAGATACCATATATCTGTGACCTTTCTTTCCTTTGCTCTGTTCTCCGTTCATTTTTCCACTCACCTGGGTCTTCCACTTTACCCCCTTCTTCCCTTAGCTTTGTTCCACTCACCCCACTGGGGTGCCCCTGCCCAGCCTCTGCCTGTGGAAGGGCCTTGGCCCACCATGGCTTAGCCTTGTGCCTCCTTGTGCATGGGCCCTCCTCTCCCCTTCTTGAGTCCGCAAATCACTTCTCCCAGTGTCAGCCGGCAAATTGGTTTATCCTCCCCCCAACCCGGCTTTCATTACCTTGCCGAAATGAAGCGATATCTCCTCAGCGGAGGCTTCCCGTCCATGCTGCCGCTGGCATAATAAATGAAGACAAAGTGCCGGCGGCATAGACCATCTCTCCCACTGCACCACTGGCCGCTGCCAGCTTCATTATTCGCTTAAGTTGCCGGAGAGAATTACTTAACCCTGACCCGTGTATTAGGGGCCTGTATTAATGCCGCGACAGGCGCCTCTTACGGCAGAGAACAATTTATTAATGCTGAAACAGGCTGCTTTTCTCTGTCATTTTTCCAATCTGAGCTTTGAACACACATCATTAAACTTGTCCGACTCTCTCCCCTTCTCCATCATTCCTTTTTCATTTTTTTTTTTTAAACAGAAAGCACCGTAAAGAATGGAGATTGTTCTGAAAATCTCCAAGTGCCTCTCCCGCTCTTTTCTCTCCCTTTTTTCCTTTTCTTTCTTTCTTTTCTTCTTTCCTAATTTTTCCCAGGCCTCCTTTTGGTCTTGGTGCCTCTGCTGGTCGCGCTCCTATTTTTGGAGTCTGGATATATTGGGAGGGAACATTTGGTTCTTGGAGGAGAAGCCAGTTGTCCTTTGGGTATGAGGTTTGGGGGACAGGATAACCACAGCCCCCTTCCCTTGAGTTCTGCACCAGCTCTCTCTCCCTCATATTCCTCTGCTTCTGTCTCTTTTGTGCCTCCAGCTGGGAGCACCTTACTTTGAAAACAGACATTGGGAAGTATTCTGGGAGCTAGAAGAGCTGGGTGTGAAGAAGAACTGGGCATGGTTTCTGTTTGTCTTGGAGAATTTCTCAGGTCCACAGCTGGGAGAGGTCAGGAAGATTTGGAAGCACCTAGAGATGGCCATTTAGTGTCTGGAGCACCCTGAGCCCAGATGTAGTGTCTGGCCACAACCCAGGAAGCTGGCCATGCTGCTGTGGCTGTGCCACCACAGGGCTGCCTACGCAGCTTTCCCCAACAGAGCGTCAGTTTCCAGGAGTTGTCATCTCTGGCTCATATGTGGTTTTGTCTCAGCACCTGAGCTCAACCTGTGGCTTCCCTACTCTCCTTGGCTCCTGATCTTGGCTCTTCTGCCCCAGCATATGCCTTTGTCTCTAGCACCTGCTGCCGCCCAGAACCATCCATAGCCATTCTCTAATGTAGTGCTTGCCAGTCTCCCTTGTGACCATCTCCTGCCCTTTGTACTAGAGACACATATGGCTAGTGTCTCAGTTTGTGTTCCCCTGGAAGCAGAACTGAGCAGACTTGGGTACAGATAGTTTGAGAGGTGGCAACAGGTAGCAGGAGTGAGGATGGGGAAAGTGAGGCCGATACAGTTGCCAGTGAAAGAGTGTGCTCTCAAGAGAGCTGCTGCAGGCAGTGGGGCTCGACTCCACCAGGCCCTCTGAGCTGGACACAGAATGGCCCCCAGAGTTACTTTTCCAGGGTATTTATTCACAGACGTCTGTCCCCGATTGGCTCAGGGGGCATAAACTCACCCAGACTTCTGCACCATGCTTGGTGTGTGTGTGTGGAGGGGGGTGTGTTGGAGGGCTGAGCACCTTCTCCTTGGAGAAGTTCCTGGGGCAGAAAGCTTGAGAGAAATATGAGGTCCTGTTTGAGGCGAATTGGGTTGGAACACGTTCCCATGGCACTGACCAGCATAGCTATGGCTGAAATCAGAAGTGGTTGGGGAGAATGTGAGGTGGGTACCAACAACATCCACCCTTGGCACCATCCCACGTGCCCATCTCCTCTCACCGTCTCCTCCCTCTCAATCCCCAACCGCCTCCAGCAGTTCTGAGCTCTGCAGCCCCAGCCTGACTGAGCTGCACACACAAAGGATGTCACAGACCAGGCAGGGACATAAACAAGTGAGGCAGGATGGGGGCAGTAAACAGGAACTGGTGGGGACTGGTAAATCAGGGAGTACAATCCCATAATTAAAACAAACACATCGAGCGAGAGATGGTGGCCCACACGTGTAGTTCCAGGTCCTCAGGAGGCTGAGGCAGGAGGATGACTTGCGCCCAGGAGGGGTTTGAGTCCAATCTGGGCAATACAGCAAGATCCCATTTCTAATAAATAAATAAATAACATTGATTACTTTTAAAAACCACACATGCAGTCTCTTAGACAAACATATTTGGGGGCTAGAAAATTTGACCTGGAGAAGTGACTTTTGCGAAGTTTTCACTCACTTTTTTGCATTCTTCCCAACTCTAGCTGTGAGTGTTGGGGACTGTTTGAAAGTGAGTCCTGGGGAGAGGGGCTGAGAAGGGGCAGGAAAGCCCATCTACAAGGCCAGTGGCTTTTCCCCCAACCCAGTCCTTCCCAAATTCCCACAGCCTCCAGATCCCTGCAACCCTCCCTCCCGCTTAGCTCAATAGCTCTTGAAAGTTCTCTAATCACCTCTCTGCTTCCTGCATTAATAAGCCTCTCATCTCACTGATGGCAATCAGAATATTTGCTTATGAAAGGGACACGGTTAATAACACGATTGCTCCCCTCCGCCTCCTTCCTTCCTCTCCTTCCCCCTCCCTTTCCCTCGCCCTCCACACAATTCTCTCAATTAACGATAGGCAGAAATTAATTTTTCCCCTCGATCGAAACAATTGCAGGGAAGCGGATTGCCAGTGTGGCTTCAGATAGGGACGGCTCCCAGCAGAGTGGAGAGAAAGGAGCGAGATGCAGGAGATAAGCAGGCTCTATCTGCAGGCACAGGACAGAGTAATACAAATGTTATCCTTAGAAATGTACTTAAAGAGGATATGTTTATAATTCGGAGGGGATTTTCGGGGGCTCTCCTGCCCTCCCTCCCTCTCCAGGGCACTCCACTCAACTCACTTCTGCATACAGAACCCAGAGTTTGTTGGGAATTTTGATCCTGTTGTCTCGAAATGAGTGGCATGGGCCTGCGGTGAGAAGGGAGATCAGGTTATGCAGGGGGTCTTGGCCATGGTCTGGGCCCAGGGCTTAGGCCACTATTGATAGGGCTCTCTTTGTGGCCAAGTGCCAAACACCAGGTGTCAGGTCTGACTGTTGTGTGGGCTTTTCAGGTGAGGGCCTGGCTTATCTGCCATCTTTACCAACCCTTCTGCACCGGCCTGCACTCCTGGCATGGGCCTCCCTCCCAGCCCACTCCACCACCCAGGTAGAGAAGCAGAGTCCCGTGTGGAAGCCAAGATCATATCCCAGCACAATGGGCTTAAGAACACAGACTCTAAAGCCCGAAAGCCTGAGTTTGAATCCAGCTCTGCTGCTTCACAGCTCTGTGATCATAGGCAAGTTACTAACCCTCTCTGTGTCTTGGTTTCCTCATCTGTACAACAGGAGCCACATCTACCGATCAGGGTTGTTATGAGGATTCAGTGAGTGAATATTAGTAAGTGCTTAGAACAGTGTGTGCCATGCAGCAAGGGCAAATGCTATTTAAACGTCTGGCAATATATATATATTTTTTTGAGATGGAGTCTCACTCTGTCACCTAGGCTGGAGTGCAGTGGCGCCATCTCGGCTCACTGCAACCTCCGCCTCCTGGTTCGAACGATTCTGCTGCCTCAGCCTCCGGAGTAGCTGGGATTACAGGTGCCTGCCACCGCGCCTGGTTAATTTTTTTTTTGTAGTTTTAGTAGAAAGGGGGTTTCACCACCTTGGCCAGGCTGGTCTTGAACTCCTGATCTCGTGATCCACCTGCCTCGGCCTCCCAAAGTGCTGGGATTACAGGGGTGAGCCATTTTTACTTTTTCCTTTTTTTAAAAAAAGCCTGTACTGTTGTGGTAGTCAGAAATGTGTTGATCCATTGATTCCACAAACATTTACTGTACACCGGTCCTAGGGAGGATACAGACGTTTTAAAGATTTGGTAGTCTCTACACTTGACTTATAAGCCACCACAGCATGGGCAGAATTCGCCATAATCACAGTGTGTGAAGAGCGCTATAGGATTTTAGAGAGATTCAGCCCGGACAATCAGGGTTGGCTTCACGGAGGAGGGGGTATCTGAGCTGAGCTTTGATGAATACGTCAGATTTGGGGGAAAGGTTGCTGCTGGATAGCGGGGCAGGAAGAACGAGCGTATCTAGTTGTAATGCCAACAGGTCAGGGGGGGAAAGTTGGGGAATGGGGTGGGAGGAGGAAGAATTAGACTGGCCCCTTCCATCATCGCCATCCTTCTGTGTTGACCCACCCCGGCTCCGTCCCAACTCTCCCTTCCTCTCCACATCCAGGAAAGATTAACTTCTCTCCGTGCGAGAAAGTTATCATTAGCCAAGAATTAAAAGAGTGATTAATGATGCCCCCTCCCCTGCCCCCTCCCCAAGGCCTTATCTGGTGGCGGTCAGCTGGACAATGCGGCAGGGTGGGAGGGGGAAGCGAGGGCGACGGAGAAAATGGAAAACAATAAATATTAAGCGCAAGAAAAAAGGGAGCGCAGCGCCGTTCCCACTTGTTAGATTGAAGGCGCCTCTCCAGAGGGGGGAAGGCTCCAAATTGCTAATTAGCGCCTGTGAAAAGGCCTAGCTCTGATATGCGCGCCGCTGAAAGGCCGACGTTAATGAAGCCGCGGCGCGCCCGCTTCCCTTTGACTGGCCTTCATCCCTCCTCCGCGCCCCGGGCCGGCCCGAACAATGCGGCGGGGAGCGCAGGCTCCCCCAGGCCTCGCCGGGACGGCCCGGGCAGCGCGCGCGGGGGGCGGCGCGGCGCCGGCGAAATGTGGAGGGGGAGATAAGGCCGAGCGCAGGGAAGAGGCTCACTCCCAGGGGCCCAGGGAAAATTTGCAGTTATTATGAAGGAGATGAGACAGATTAAAAGCCCTTGTGTTCGCCGCTTTGCCCCTTTATTTAGTGGCTTCATCTACGAGATGAAAGAAGTTGGAAATGACTTTCTCTGCTTTGCGCGGCAAGAAGCTTCATGGCACATTTCTTGACTTTATTCCTTCTTTTGTTTCTCTCTTCCTTGCCTTTAACCCCTGAAAGGCTTCACTTTGCGGCCACAGGCACTTAAGGGCTGGGAGGCAGGGACTGGCAGGGGCCTCCTCCGGTGACCGCTCGCAGCCAGACCTTGCCGATCTTTCTTTGGCTTTTGTCTCTGAGGGCAATGGCTGAGGCAGGCAGGTGGTGAGCTTGCCCTTCTTGGAGGGCTCCAAGAGGAGGCTGCATGACCCATTTTCCAGATGGGTTGGAGGCTCCTGGAATGCCCTGGGCCTGTCCCCAGAGGAAGGTAGAGCGCTGTGCTTGAAAGCATAGGGACTCCAGAGCCACATCACCTGGGTTCAAAGCTACCCCCTTGCTAAGATCTTGGGCAAGACATTTAACTTCGCGGTGCCTCAGTTTCCCATCTGTAAAATGGGGATGATGATATTAATTCTAATACCCACTTCACAGGTGGAGTAGACACTGTGTGAACGTCCCTGATTTTTCATGCCTCTGTGTATCTACGCCTCTTGCTACTGCATTTCCATACTGACTCTGGGCTTGGCCGCTTGACTTGCTTTGGCCAATGTCAGTTACAAGGTTGAGTCAAGCAGAGACTAGAAGAAGTGCTGTGTGTTTCTGCCTCCTCTCTTAGAATCCTACAACGGTTATGAGAATATACTAGGGCTGGCCTCTGGTCATGAGAACATGACTATGCCATCTATCTCAGGCATGTGGGAGACATGAGGAAGACAGTTAAGTTGTCCCAGACCAGGACATCCTAGAACATCCAGTCCCCAGCTGACTGCAGATGCAGGAGCAAGCCCAGCTAAGATCAGCCAAGCCTAGGCCAGATGAGGAGAACTTGCCAGCCAGCATATGAACTTACGAGAAGTCATAAGTGAGTGCTGTTTCAAGCAACTAAATTTTAGGGTGACTTGTTATGAAGCATTAAATTGATGCCTAGAAATCAGGCATTGCTATAAACCAAACCAAAACCAAAACCAGCTCTAACACATATAGTACTAGCTTTGGGATTAGAAAGCAAGTAGAGGCTAGAAAAGATGATAAAGAAACTGGCTAGGCACAGTAATCCCAACACTTTGAGAGGCCGAGGTGGGGGGATTGCTTGAGCCCAAGAGTTTGAGACCAGCCTGGACAACATAGCGAGACCCCGCCTCCACAATAAATAAAAAATTAGCCAGGCACAGTGGTATACACCTGTAGTCCTAGCTACTCTACTCAGGAGGCTGAGGGGGGAGGATCTCTTGAGTCCAGGAGGTCAAGGCTGCAGTGAACTGTGATCATGCCATTCATAGAGTGAGACCCTGTCTCAGAAAGAAAAAAAGAAAAAGAAAGAAAAGAAGGAAGGAAGGAAGGAAGGGAAATTACTATAGTAGGCTAGAAAAGAAGGTGACCCATATTATGTCTAACGAAATAATAGGTCAAACTGTTGTCTGTGGTAATTCGGAAGATAGAAGTACTTAATGAACTTGTGAATTTGAGCAATGAGATTTCCAGGTAGAAGGCTGAAAGGATGAAACGGCTCTTACTAACTGAATTTGATAAGGTACTAGGAGAAAGATGAGCTGAAGAAGAAAATTACCAGTTTATTAACATAATTTAGAGGGAATATAAAAGGCCCAGAACTTGCTGAATTGGAGCAATTTCCCAATCCTTACCCCAGTTGTTCCAGCCAGTAAAAGACTCTCAGTGTACTACAAGACCTAAGACTTTCACTTTAGGCATTAATAGAATAACAGGGACTGTGTTTACCCTCGCACCTAAACAATTAAAGGAATACAAAAATTTCCAGAATCCTACAAGGTAAAATTAATAATATCTGGAAAACAATAAAAATTATGAGACACAGAGAAGCAGGAAAATACACTTATACGGATAAATCAATCAATAAAGCAGACCCAGAAATCACACAGATGACAGAACTAGTAGTCAAGATTAGTAGTCTACTAGTAGGACCAGTAGATGATTGACTTGTAGAAAATTAAATTATAACAATTATAACTATATTTTATATGTTTAATAAGGTAGAAAAATCCATGAGCATACTAAGGAGAGACAGGGAAGATATGAAAAAGCTCCAAAATCTGGGTGCGGTGGCTCACGCCTGTAATCCCAGCACTTTGGGAGGCAGAGGTGGGTGGATCACCTGAGGTCAGGAGTTCAAGATCAGCCTGTCCAACATGGAGAAACCCTGTCTCTACTAAAAATACAAAATTAGCTGGGCTTCGTGGCACATGCCTGTAATCCCAGCTACTCAGGAGGCTGAGGCAGGAGAATCACTTGAACCGGGGAGGTGGAGGCTGTGGTAAGCCGAGATCATGCCATTGCACTCCAGCCTGGGCAACAAGAGTGAAACTCTGTCTCAAAAAAACAAAAACAAAAAAACTCCAAATCTAACTTCTATATGACTACAATGTCTGAGATGGAAAAATGTATTGGATGTGATAAATAACAGGTTATACACTGTGGAAGAAAAGGCTGGTGACTTTGAAGATACAGCAGTATAAACTATCTAAAATGAAACAGAGAAAAAAAATCCCTAAAAAACAAAAAAGAAAAACAATAAGGAAGGAAGGAAGGGCAGATGAACAACTTAAAGCGACCTAATATATGTGTAATTGGAGTTCCAGAAACATAGCCATACATTGGAGATATTGTGGTTTCAGTTCCAGACCACCGCAATGAAACTAATATTTCAGTAGAGTCACATAATTTTTTTGATCTCTCAGTGCATATAAATGTTTGTTTGTTTGCTTGTTTTTGTTTTGTTTTATTTGTTTTTTTAAGACAGGGTCTCACTCTGTCTCTGAGACTGGAGTGCAGTGGCATGGTCACAGCTCAGCCTCAGCCTCCTGGGCTCAAGAGATTCTCCCACTTCAGCCTCCTGAGTGGCTAAGGCCACAGGCGTGTATCACCATGCCTGGCTAATATTTCTGTTTTGTAGCAGCAGGGTTTCACCATGTTGTGCTGGCCGGTCTTGAACTCCTGAGCCCAATCTGCTCACCTCAGCCTCCCAAAGTGCTGGGATTAAAGGCGTGAGCCACTGCGCCTGGCCGTGCATATAAAAGTTTTGTTGGCTGGACATGTTGGCTAAAAAACTTTTGTTTATACTATAGTGTAGTTTATTAAGTTTGCAATAGCATTATATTTAAAAATGCAATGTACATACCTTAATTATAAAATATTTTATTGCTGCTGGGTGTGGTGGGGCATGCCTAAAGTCCCAGCTACTCAGGAGGCTAAGACAGGAGGATCACTTGAGCCCAGGAATTTGAGTCCAGCCTGGGCAACATATCAGGAAGCTTGAGAAGAGGGAGAGAGACAGGGGAATGGCCAGTCAGTGGAGCAGTCAGAACAGAAACAACATTTATTGATTAAGTTTGCCATCTTACATGGTCACAACTCATGGTGTCTCAAAACAGTTATAATAGTTATACCAAAGGCCACTGATCAAAGATCACCACAACAGATATAATAATAATGAAACATTTGCAATATTGTGAGAATGACCAAAATGTGACACAGAGACATAAAGTGAGCACATGCTGTTGGAAAAACAGTGCTGATAGACTTGCTCAATACGGGGTTTACAGGGTTGCCACAAACCTTTAATTTGTAAAAAAAAAAAAACAAACAAACAGCGAAACACAATAAAACAAGGTATGCCCATAGATAAAAAGTGGGAGAAGAAAAATATTTTAAGAAATAATAGCAAAAAGCATGAAAACTATAAACCCACAGATTAAAAAGCTCAATGATTCCAAGGACAAGAAACATTATGAAACATTATGAAAATGACACCAACTCACATTATAAACAAATTGCTTGAAGCTAGTGATAAAGAGGAAATCTTTTTTTTTTCTTTTGAGATGGAGTCTTGCTCTGTCACCCAGGCCGGAGTGCAGTGGTGCAATCTCGGCTCATTGCAACCTCCACCTCCTGGGTTCAAGCAATTCTGCTGTCTCTGCCTCCCAATTAGTTGGGATTACAGGCACGTGCCACCACGCCCAGCTAATTTTCATATTTTTTAATAGAGATGGGATTTCACCATGTTGGCCAGGCTGGTCTCGAACTCTTGACCTCAGGTGATCCACCCACCTCGGCCTCCCAAAGTGTTGGGATTACAGGCATGAGCCACCGTGTCTGGCCAAAGAGGAAATTTTAACAGCAGCAAGAGTACAAAGACATTATGTATAGAGGAAAAAAGATAAGAAGAAAAACAGACTTAATCTTTGTAATAATGTGAGCCAGAAGACAGCAGAGCAACATCTTTAAAGTGCAGTCACATGTTACTTAACAATAGGGATAGATTCTGAGAAATGCGTCGTTCGGTGATTTTGTTGTACAAACATTATAGAACCTAGTAATACAAGCCTAGGTGGTATAGCCTGCAACACATTGACGGATAGCCTGTGCTCCTAGGCTGAAACCTGTACAACATGTTACTGTACTGAATGCTGTAGACAGTTGTAACAAAATGGTATATGTGTATCTAACCATGTCCAAATATAGAAAAAATACAATAAAAATGCAGTATTATATTCTTATGAAACCACCATTGTATATGCAGTCCATCATTGACCAAAACGTCATCATGTAGCATATGACTGTCCTGAAAGAAAAACATTGTCAACATAGAATTCTATACCCAGCAAAGACGTTTTTCAAAAATGAAGACAATTATAAAGACTTTACAAGAAACCAAAGCTGACAGAATTATCACAAATGTACAAGAACTACATGAAATGTTAAAAAAAAGTTTCAGACAGAAAATCATACCAAATAGAGATCATGAGATATACAAAGGAATGAAAAGCACCAAAAGTGGTATTTATGAAACTGTAAAATATCTTTTCTTTAAAAAAATCTCTTTCGGTAATAATTGACTGTTTAAGAAAAGAAATATAAATGTATTGCAGGATTTCTGCCATATGTAAAAGTAAAACATATGAAAATTGGTGAGGTTCAGGACACACTACTCCTAAATATAGCACTTTTGCCATAGAAGAAATAGCAGAAACAGCCCATAGAAACTAAAAAGAATTTCTCTCACTTCCTTTCCCCTGTAATGGGCCATAAAACCAAGTTGACCTTCCCTGAAAATAGGTCATAGGACCCTCATTCCAGAGGCATCCTCCCTATACCTGGAGAAGAAGAATGTCCCTATCCTCAAAGATGCAAAGACACCAAAAAGAATCTGAATAAATGGGCTTTGCTAAGTTTCTCCGAGTTTATTACCATTAGATCATATCCTTTTTTCTGCAATCATACATCTGAATGAGTGTCCATAAAAATACAGTTTCCCTGTTTTTTAATGTCTTCATTTCTGAATGCTCTTGTGTCAGGTAAAACTTATCTTAAATAAATTTGTATGCTTTGCTTTTGTTAATCTGTCCTTTATTATAGGTGCTATAGCCATGAATATCAAAACGGTTATTGAGAGGATTAAATGAAATACTGAATCTAGTCTTCAGCATGATTCTTGGACTACAGTAAGCTTTTAGTAAATGCTACTTCAACAAAATCCCTAAATTCAACAGAGTTGAGGAGGGTAAGTGAGAGAGCATGGGAGGCGTGGCAAGGGAGGAGTTGGCGAACCTCTGTCTACTGCCACCTGCTCCTTGGCTGCTGCCCTGGGTCCCAGCACAACCCCTCACTGTCCCCCTCTTGGTGTGCTTTACAGGAGATGTGTTTCTGTTATCACTGCTGCCAAGGAGTGCTCAGCATCTCCCCACTCCTGCATTCCTGCCTCCAGGGAAGGTTCCTATAATCCCAAGGAGAAGGCACCAGGAGTACCAGGGGTAGGGGAGGCGGACAAGTTGCCAGGTGTCACTCACTTTCCAAGTATATGCTAACACTTCCTGTCCTCCTTGGTGGACACTGTTTCTGTTAGTAACATCTCTCCAGTGGCTGCTGGAAAAACTTTCTGGAAAGATTTCCAGATGTCTTGGATCTGTTCAGAGAAGATCTGAGCCAGGAAAAGGGGAAAATGGAAATAAATTATGGAGAGAGGATGAGGAATCCATTCATTCATCAAATGTTTATTGAGCACCTACTATGTGACAGGCACTGTTGTAGGTTCCAGGGGGATACAAAGGTGAAAGGACAGATACCGTCCTTATTCTTATGAAACTTACATCCTGGTGGGAGGCAACAGAGTACAAACAAATAAGTACCAAAGAAATAGGATGAAGTTGGACTATAATAAGTGCCATAAGGGAAATATACCAGGTGCTATGGTTTAAATGTATCTTCCAAAATTCAGGTGTTAGAACTTAATGGCCAATGTGATTTTATTAAGAAGTGGAGTATTTAAGAGGTAATTGGTCATGCGGGCTTCTCCCCTCATGAATGGAATTAAGGCTCATATAAAAGAGGTTTTACAGAGTGTTGGCTCACTTGCCCTTCTGCCTTTCATCATGTGAGGACACAGCATTCCTCCCTTCCAAAGGATGCAGAAACGGGGCACCATCTTTGAAGCAAAGAGTGAACCTCATCAGACCACCAAACCTGCCAGCACCTTGATCTTGGATTTCCCAGACTCCAGAAGCTATGAGAAAATACATTTTTGCTCTTTATAAATCACCCAGTCTATGGTATTTTGTTATAGCTGCACAGAATGGACGATGAGATAGAAAGTACTTTAGATCCTATTAGAAAAGTCCTCTCTGTGGAGGTGATATTTTAGCCAAGGCCTCAATGATGCTCTCAGGTGCAGGACAGCATGTCAAGGCCCTGGGGAAGGTGGAAAAAGAGCATGGTGGGTTGGTACTGTGGGCACAGGGAAGAGAGTCAAGACCAGAGGCAGGCAGGGCCCACATCATACCTGACTGTGCAGGCCATAGTGAGGACTTTAGGTTTATTATAAGTGCAGGGAATGTAATAAATCAGCAGTGGAAGATTTTTTATTTATTATTAATTATTTGTTTAAAAAATATATTTGGCTGGGCACAGTGGCTCATGCCTGTAATCCTAGCACTTTGGGAGCCGAGGTGGGCAAATCTCTTAAGCCCAGGAGTTTGAGATCAGCCTGGGCAACACGGTGAAATCCTGTCTCTACAAAAAGTACAAAAACAGCCAAGCGCGGTGGCTCACGCCTGTAATCCCACCACTGTGGGAGGCCAAGGTAGGCAGATCACTTGAGGTCAGGAGTTCTAGATCAGCCTGACCAACATGCAAAACCCTGTCTCTACTGAAAAATACAAAAAGTAGCTGGGTGTGGTGGTGTGTGCCTGTAATCCCAGCTACTAGGGAGGCTGAGGCACAAGAATCGCTTTAACCCAGGAGGCGGAGGTTGCAGTGAGCTGAGATCACACCACTGCACTCCAGCCTGGGTGACAGAATGAGACTGTCTCGAAACAAAAAAAAACAAACAAAAAGCAAACCCCAAACACGTAAACAAACAAAAAGTACAAAAATTAGCCCGGCCTGGTGGCGCGTACCTGTAGTCCCAGCTACTCAGGAGGCTGTGGTGGGAGGATGACCTCAGCCCAAGGGAAGTCGAGGCTGCAGTGAGCCATGATCGTGCCACTGCATTCCAGCCTGGGTGACAGAGTGAGATTCTATCTCAAAAAATATATATACATTTTTGTGGGGAGGAAAGAGGTGAGAGAAGCCTATTATTTCCTTCCATGTGCAGATTCTTTTTCAGCTGGGAATTTCCTCATTCGACTACGTTTGATGGTCAAAAAAGGGAAACTTCTGTTGACTACTCCCCTCTTTTCAGTAACTACTAATACTTTTGGAGCAGTTAATTTGTGTTGGGCTGTGTACTAAATGCTTTACATTCATTATTTCATTTCATCTCCATCCAAGAGATAGATATGTACAAATATTGTCTCCATATTGCAGATAGGGAAGCAAAGGCTCAAAGAAGTGAAGCTTCTAGCTCTGGACACAGTCAGGCAGTTAGGGCTTCACCCTTCACCTCCTTCCCCCTCCTCCACTGCTGCCTGCTTGCAGCCTGCTCAGGCCTTATTACCATCAGTGACCTCCTCAGTTGCCAAGTGTGGTGGCATTTCCTCAGAACTGCTCATCTTCAAACTTCCTTTTCTTCTTCATTTTCTTAAAACTCTCTCTCCTCTGGCTTTTAGACACAGGTTCTCTTCAGATGCTTTCAGTCTTTTTGGAGCTGTCCTCTTCTTCCACAACAGGCCACTTCTCTCACCACCCTCTTTCATTATGTGATTCTGCCCATGGCTTCCACCATCCCATGAAGGCGGAAGTTTCATTACAATTTTCTCATGGGACTGAGACAAGCACTTCTAATGTCCCTGACCCAGCATTTAGTAAACAAGTATTCATTTAATTTTTAACCAACAATAACTATGGAGCACCTACCATGTGTAAGGCACTGTGCTAGGCACTGATGAGAATACAATGAATAGGACAGGGTCTTCAGGGCAATGCAGTAGGCTTTGGTTTGGTTCACATAGTTATATACATATAAGCACAGGGCCAGGCATATTGTAGACGCTTAGTAAATATTTGTTGAATGAGTGACTTAGTTGGGGAGGCAAACTTGCACATAATTGGCTCTAGTTCAGGTTGAAGGAAGAGAGTGTGGTCATAAAGCTACCGGCAAGTGCTCAGAATGAGAGCCAAAGGAGTGGGCAAGCAAGGGTAAGTGTCTTTCTTGAGGTGACATTGGAATTGAGCCTTTAAATCACCCCAGATCCCAAGGGTGTTCTAGAACTAGCAAGTGATATGGTGTGCTCAAGCATGATGCAGGAGGTAGTGGAAGATGGATGAAATGACACCACTAAAATTGTGTTTTAGGAAACTCACTCTGGTGCCTGGGTAGAGGATGGCATTTTGGGGGGAGAGACTGCAAGTGGGAAGACCAGTAAGGCAGCTGCTGCATCACCCAGAAGAGTGGTTACCTGCCCAGATGAGGCCAATGGCAGAGCAAAAACCAATGAGGGAGGACAAATGCAAGACTACTGCAGGAGTGCAATCTACGGGGCTTAGCACTTTGCTAGATAAAGGGGTAAAAGAAAGAAACAAGAACTAAAAATGGGTTTGAAGCTTCTCACCTGGGTAACTGCATGATGGTGGCGATATTTTCCAAAGAGTGAACAGTGGAGAAGGGGCAGGTTTGATAGAAACTATGGAAGAGGCTGGACAAGGTGGCTCACACCTGTAATCCCAGCACTCTAGGAGGCTGGGGCAGGAGGATCACTTGATGGTAGGAGTTTGAGACCAGCCTGGGCAACATAGTGGAGACCCTATCTCTCTACTAAAAATTTAAAAATTAGCTGGGCATGGTGGCATGTGTCTGTAGTCCCAGCTATTTAGGGTGCTGAGGTGGGAATATTACTTGAGCACAGGAGGTCAAGGCTGCAGTGAGGTAATGATCATGCCACTGCAGTGTTCTGTCCGTAGGTGTACCATCATTTAGTTAACTAATCCCTGTTGTAGAATTTCTGACTTTTTCTACTTTCCTCAATCCTCCCTCAGAAATGCTGCAGAGAAGAATTTAACCTGTATCTAACATTTTTGAGCCCATTTCCAATTTTTTTTTTTTTTGAGACATGGTCTCACTCTGTCTTTCATTTCACAGAGACCCTGTCTGGGAAAAAAAAAAAAAAAAAAAAGGAAAGGAGAGAGGGAAGAAAGGAAGGAAGGAAGAAAGAAACTGTGGAAGAAACTAAGCTTTATTTTTGACATTTTATTATATTTACTTATTTATTTTTGAGACACGGTTTCACTCCTGTCACCAGGCTGGAGTGCAGCAGTGTGCTCTCAGCTCACTACAACCTCTGCCTCCTGGAATGAAGTGATCCTCTTGCCTCAGCCTTTCCAGTAGCTAGGATTACAGGCGCCCACCACCACACTTGCCTAATTTTTTGTATTTTTAGTAGGGACGGGGTTTCACCATGTTGGCCAGGCTAGTCTCAAACTCCTGACCTGAAGTGATCCACCCGCCTCAGCCTCCCAAAGTGCTGGGATTACAGGCGTGAGCCACTACGCCTGGCCTATTTTTGACATTTTAAATTGGAAATGCTGGTGAGGTGAACAAGTGGAGCTATCTAGTAGAAAAATGAAAATATAAGTTGGATTTCAAGAAATTTGGGAGCTTTCAGTGCTGATGCAGGCAATCAACACCGTGGGAACAGATGTGATTTGTGGGAGAGAATTTTCACTTATGCAGAAAAGAGGCCTAAGGCTGTGGACACCTGTTGAACATTTCCATATTTCTGTCCTGTGGGAGTCACAGATTCAGCATGTCCAAAATGGAATTAATCATCTTTCCACTAAACCCGTTTATCTTCTTGACTTCTCTAGCTGTGCAGATGGCACTGACCATTGTCTTAGTTGCCCTAGCTCAAAACCTCAGCTATCTTTGTCTCCTACCTTGACTTTTTTTCACCTATAGAACATTCTGAAAATCCACAAAAAACAATAGATAGGAGATATAATCATTGATAATGAAACCATTTCGGATATTGTATGGTGGCTTCTTCTGGTCATATTCCTTTGCGAGTATAGATTTAATTTCCTTTGTATGGGAATCATACTCTACATTTTTAGAGTAATCTTTTTATTGAAGTATAACAGTCATGCAGAAATGTACACAATCATAAGTCGATGGCTTTTCATGTCATTAAATATTCTTTTGCAACATTAATTTTTAAAAGTTGCAAGATATTCCACCCATAGATGTACCATAATTTAGTTAACTAACCCCTGTTGTAGAACTTCTGGCTTTTTCTAGTTTCCTCATCTCTCCCTCAGAAATGCTGCAGAGATGATTTACCTATATTTAACATTTTTGCGCCCATTTCCAATTTTTCCTTAGAATACAATTCTTTGGGGCAAAATTTCAGGGTCCAAGGTATGTGCATATTTTTAAATAAACTTTTTTATTTTAGGATAATTTTGGGTTTAGATAAAAATTATGAAGATTGTTACAGTTTCTGTGTAATTCACACTTTCTCCTATTATTCACTTTTTTTTTTTTTTTTTGTGACGGCTGAGTCTCACTCTGTCGCCCAGGCTGGAGTGCAGTGGCTCGATCTCTGCTCACTGCAACCTCCGCCTCCTGGGCTCAGGCGATGCTCTTGCCTTAGCCTCCTGAGTAGGGACTGGGACTACAGGCATGTGCCACCACACCTGGCTAATTTTTTGTATTTTTAGTAGAGACGGGGTTTCACCATGTTGGCCAGGCTGATCTCGAAATCCTGACCTCAGGTGATCCGCCCACCTCAACCTCCCAAAGTGCTGGAATTACAGGTGTGAGCCACCACACCAGGCTATTCACTCTTACAGAAGTATAACACATCTCACAATTGCAACCAATATTGATACGTTATTATTATTATTATTATTTTGAGACGGAGTTTCACTCTTGTAGACCAGGCTGGAGTGCAATGGTGCGATCTTGGCTCACTGCAACCTCCGCCTCCCAGGTGCAAGTGATTCTCCTGCCTCAGCCTCCCGAGTAGCTGGGATTACAGGCACGTGCCACCATGCCCATGTAATTTTTGTATTTTTAGCAGAGACAGGTTTTCACCCTGTTAGCCAGGATGGTCTCAATCCCCCAACCTCAGGTGATCCGCCTGCCTCGGCCTCCCAAAGTGCTGGGATTACAGGCGTGAGCCACCTCACCCGGCCCGATACATTATGATTAACTAAAGTTGATACTTTATCCAGATTTCCTTAGTTTTTACCTAATGTTCTTTTTTCAATTGCAGCGTCACACCCAGGACACCATATTACATTGTCATGCCTCCTTAGGCTCCTCTTGGCTCTGAGTTTCTTAGACTTCCCTTGCCTTTGCTGATCTTAACAATTTTGAAGAATACTGGTCATGCACTCTGCAGAATGTCCCTCAATTCGGGTTTGTCTGATTTTTTTTTCTTATAATTAGACTGGGTTATGAGATTTGGAAGGAAAGTACCATAAAGTGCCATTCTCATCATATATCATTCCACATACTATCAACATGATTTAGCACATAGTCTTGATCACCTGGCTGAATTACTGTTTGCCAGGTTTCTCCCCTGTAAAATCACTCATTTTCCCCTTTACAGATGTTGTACTTTTGGGAAGGAAGTCACTATGCACAGCCCACATTTAAGGAGGCAGAAGTTATGCTGCAGGATGGCTGTCTACATAAGTTATTTGAGATTCTTCTGTGGGGGATTTATCTCTTCTTCCTCATTCGTTAATTTATTCAATCACTTATATCGGCATGGGCTCATGAATATTTCTTTTGTACTTTGAGTTATAATCCAATATCACTTGTTTTATTGCTCAAGGCAATTTGAAATGTTCTGAGTAACTCAGTGCAAAACAACCTCTTCCAAAGGTTGTACCAGCTCACAGGGTAGACGTCATTAAGATCCATTTCCCCTCAACTTCACAGACCCATTAAAAAGGTCAGAAAGCAAGAGATAAGCTGACATCCCTGCCTAGCGCCCAATTTCTGGAAGCCCCTAAGGAAGATGAGGCCAGCATGCAGGGGTCTTTCCCCACGTGGGGCACCTCAACCCCTGAGACGCCCTTTCCCGGCCAGACCCTATTCAACACCCCTCCTTGTCCCCTGCCCCATCTCCTGGCTTCCTGTGGCTCCGCCCACCGCGGGGCGGAAGTGGGTGTGGCCACGGGCGGAAGCACTGGGTCAGGGGCCCAATCGTGCAGCCAGCCCCTCCCACTCGCCACCGCCCCACCCCTCCGGCCCAGACCGGAAATGAGGTCAGAGAGGGAAGCCCCGGCGGTGAGAGTCGGCCCAAAAAGCGGCGGCCGTTGGAGGTGGCTGCGGCAGCTGGTGAGGGGGAGGAATGGGTTGAGAGTGTTGGGGTCCTGGGGGCTAGTACCAGAGGGGATCGGAGCGCCAAGCCGCGGCTGAGCGGCTAAGGGCGTCTTGGGGCTGCGGCAGACGGCCGGAGGGTGAGGGTGGTGGGGCCTTGCTTTTCAGGGCCCTTGTCCCCATCCCTGGGGATGTGGGTCGGGCCGTCTCCGGGGCCACAGCCCCCTCTTCCCCTTTCTTCTTTCTGCCTCTCTGGGGCGGGCTGCAGCCTGAGGGCTTGGTGTCCCGAGCCATGGTCGCCCCAGCCCTCAGGGACGGGCCGGGGCGTGGTGGAGAGTCCTTCGAAACACAGTTTTTGTCATATATGTGGCCATGTTGCGACCCCCGATCCCGGAGGGAGCTCAGTCGCCAAGACTTGCATTTTGGCAGTTTCTGCCCTAGAAGAGCCGATCCCCGCCCCTCGTGAGCCCAAATGAGCAGTTGCCTCCTGCCTCTCCCACCTCCTACTCCGCCCCTCACTTCCACCCTGCTCCTGTCTCTCTTCTTACTTGCTGTCCACCAGCTACCCGTTCCTTCCTGTGCGTGACTCAGCCTCATCTCTGCCCGGGTGCGTGCCTGGCCGCCGGGTCCTCTCGAGAGTGTGCATCCGCGACTGGAGATGGGGAGTTCTAGGGTTCTTTTGTCACTACTGTTGGAATTACAGGCTTTGAGGCAGGAAAGGATTCTGCACAGGCATTCGACTGCAAGTTGTTTGATGACTTCGTTCCATGTTCAAGTTTGTGCTGTTCTGCCTGAGGTTTTTATTTGTTCTTTTGTTTTTGTTTTTTGTATTTTTGTTGCCTGAGTTTTTAAAGCAGTAATTCTTTATTAGGGAAGTAGATTTTGACATGCTGTTCCCACTTGTTTCTTTATTTTGGTCTTAGGGACAGTTGTCTCCCAAACCTCAATCATGGCATTTTAATCCACTTTTTTTTTTCCCATTTTTTCCCCTTCTTTTCACAGGTGTTGATAAACCACTTCTTAATGCTTAAAAGAACTTGGTCTTGTTTAAATGTATGTGCTTTTGGACACTTTGAGAAGCTTCGTTTGTATGGTAGTTTTGGAAGTAGGTGTCACTATTGCTCCTACAGGTGTGGCAGATAAGCCAGAGGACTGTTTTCCTGTCTTTAAGTTCATTGGCATAGGCACAGCATGAAAATAGGTTTTAGAAAGCCCTTTGCAAAGTGAAAACTGAATGAATGGGAATATGGTCAGAGAGTGGCACCACTTAGAATTTTAAGCTGATCTTGAAATACTTTGGGCATAGAGGCAAGAGAAAAGTGCTAAAAATTTAATATGTATTTAATTAGATGCTGTACAAATTAAATATTTCCCCTTAAGGGGGAATTTTGAAGATTGCTCCTACTACTGTCATTTCTTGAAATGTTTGTCTCTGAAGTGACCCCTGAAGTGTGATGTTTGGTTTGAGGATGAACAGAAAAATAAGAAATTTTGGAAAGCAGTTTGGCCAGAAATCTTAGAAACTTCACCCTATCCCTGTCATTTCAGCTGCTATTGTATCCTAGTTTTCTGTGATTGTGTGGCACTGAAGCACATAACTAGGACCAACATTTATTTTCTGGAGGGTAGGAGAGGGGCTTAAAAATTGTTAATTATTCAAAAATATATGACATACTGTATAAGGTTCTATACCTGGTAGCTTCCAGGTGGTAGTTGGTACCAGAATGGGCGCAAACTTAGTCTCTTCTCCATTCTGACTTCAAACCTGGGTCACTACAATTTCTTGGATCACGAAAACTGCATTCTTCCTTAAATGGTGTCACTAAGTTGTCTTTCTGTTTCTTTCTGCCATGGTCATTGTCAGCAGTGACCCCAGGCCAAAGAACAGTTTTTCATTCATTCTCAATACCTCGATGAGACCATGTGCTACTCTGTGTTTCCACAACTCTAGTGTGATTTTGAAGTTGTATGTTTTTCTGTTCCTGTCTAGTGAGACAGTCTCTAATCTTTCTGGATCTCATCATTAGGTAATTCAATGACAAGTTTAATTGGGGAAAAGAGAGAAGGATCTAGTCCCCCGAATTTGTTTTGGGTCCTGTCCCAGTTGTCTTCTGGTTAGTAGGTTTTTGTGCTTAAGAATATGTTGACTTCAGGCATTTAACAAGGGACAAAACATCTATTTTTAGTGACTTAAGGAAGTGGTAGGAACAGAATCTAAGTGTAGCCAGATGAAAGGTGACTTATTTTGTTTAGACAGGCAGAACTGTGGACTACCATGATCTGTTTCATCAAATTATTCCAAAACAACAGATCCTTTTTCAGGCTTTCTTTTTCTTTTTCTTTTCTTTCTTTCTTTTTTTCCTAAACTTCCTTTTGGCAGATGTGGCCTCATGGATGAGCTGGTACACGACTTAGCCTCAGCCTTGGAGCAGACATCTGAGCAGAATAAGCTTGGTGAACTGTGGGAGGAGATGGCGCTGAGCCCCCGACAGCAGAGGCGGCAGCTTCGGAAACGCCGAGGTCGGAAGCGTCGTTCTGACTTCACTCACCTGGCAGAGCATACCTGCTGCTACAGCGAGGCCTCTGAGTCAAGTCTGGATGAGGCCACTAAGGACTGTCGAGAAGTGGCTCCGGTGACCAATTTTAGTGACTCTGATGACACAATGGTAGCCAAACGACACCCAGCTCTCAATGCCATTGTCAAGAGTAAGCAACATTCTTGGCATGAATCTGACTCCTTTACTGAAAATGCACCTTGTCGACCACTCAGGCGCAGGCGGAAGGTGAAGCGAGTGACATCAGAGGTGGCTGCTAGCCTTCAGCAGAAGCTGAAGGTGTCAGATTGGAGCTATGAGAGAGGCTGCAGGTTCAAGTCTGCTAAGAAGCAGCGTCTGTCCCGCTGGAAGGAGAATACTCCCTGGACCTCATCAGGCCACGGATTGTGTGAATCAGCAGAAAATAGGACTTTCCTAAGCAAAACAGGAAGGAAAGAAAGGATGGAGTGTGAAACAGATGAACAAAAACAGGGCTCTGATGAGAACATGTCAGAATGGTGAGATCTCCCTTACTAAGTCAAAGATTTTCCTGGTTAATTTTTCCCAAAGTGCACATCCATGGTCTTAGTGGGTTCTACCTTCTTTCAAACCAGCCACTCTAGTATTGACTTTGAAGCCTTCCTTGAATCAATCAGTAGTTTAGCTTTTTAAGGTACCATTCATGAGTCTATTTCCCTCTGTCAGGAAGGCTATATGTAATAGAAACACAGTTGTTTCTAAAAACTGTTTAAAACGCGTACCTCAAATGCAAAACTAATAATTTTATTTTAAAAAACAATTTGCTGCTTATTATGCCATACAGTTTATACATAAATATTGTTGTTTAGAACTCAGGTCTCAGCAGAGGCTGGTGTGTGTGTGTGAGAGAGAATATGCTAGCGCCAGGTATACGGAGTTTATAAATGTTCCATTAAGTTGCCTGTCCTCATTAAGAATCATGGCTTTAGATGCTTTTTGGCTATAATTCTGTTTTCTGCTACTTGTGGTTTGATTATATTGAATTTATTTTTTTATGGCTGACATTCAAATTGTCTGAACACATGGTGGGCTTTGAAAATAACAGTACCGAGTCCCATTAGTCTTACATCAGATGTGATCAAGCCAGAAAAATTTGTCTCTAATGGGTACATGTTTAAAAATGTAAGTGTAGTTTTGGTGACTTTTTATTTTTTACATCTCAGATAGTCCTAGGAACATTGATACCCCCCAGCTTGATACTTTAATGTTATTAATATTAATCTGTGGTTATCTTTTTCTTAATAGTGAGGATGCCATTGGTGTTTTGGATGGGACAATTCTTTATGGTGCATTGCAGAATATTTAGCATCTCTGCATTATTCACACCCCCTTTTCATTGTATCAACCCAAAGGCCTCCAGGGGTGATCCCTAGGTGGATTGAGTACTCCCAGTTGAGAACCAGTGTATTCTATTATTGTTAATATTAGTTGGCATTTATTAAGCACTCAACTATGGGCCAGGCACTGTACTATGGACTTAGCATATACTCTTATTTAATGTTCACAATTCCACTATATGGTGGATACCACTATTTGTATTTACAGAAGGGAAGTTGAGGTTATAAGAGCTTAGATAATTTGCCTAAGATCACCCAGTGCCAAAACTGGGAATCAAGCCTGATTCCAAAGCTCATTCTTAACCACCATGTTGTGCTGCCCTTTGAGTTGTTCTGTCTCAATTTAACTTTCCCAACTGTAGAACATATGACCTTTCTGAAGTTTAGCTTAAAAACAAAGACATTAATCTTAGGAACACTGAGGTGAGGCTGTGTCAGTAACAGGAAAAACTGTTTAGGTCTGTATACCTGTACCTTTCTTGAGTGGTTTTTAATCCAGCTTTTAAACTTTTTCTTATTAACTTTATATTTGCCAGTCTGCAGACTATATTGAGATAGGCTCATAATTTGACTTTCCTAATTTTCCTCTAATGCCTCATTCCTTCTAAGGTCTATTTGCAGAATTTATATGTATATATTTGGATTATAAAGGTATTTTTCCCTCATCAGACTATTTTTAATCAAACAAGAAATGCTTAGTCAACTTGTAGCCTTTCACACTATTGAAACCCTCTATTGAGACATTCAAGTTTGTTTTAATATTGAGCATATATACCAAATAGAAGTCTTCTTAGTATTGAGAATGGTGATTTTAAAAGTAGCCTTTTGGGATAGTAGCTTTGTGTATGTTTCTTCCCCTTAATTTCTTGTTAAACTACGACATAATTGTATGTGAGAGAGCGACTGTTAACTCTGTCTGCTCTAACAGCCCAAGTATGGCTCCAGATGCAGAGCCTGTTTTCTAGCATGAGATGCTTCACTCTTTTCTGTTCCTTCTTACTCCAGACACATCTATTGCACATTCTAGTCAGGATGTAATAATGTAAATTCTCGTTATCTGAGAGTCTGGATAACTTAAGTGGATGGGAATTCTTATGAAATTCTTACTCTTTTCAAATTGAGGAGAACTCATTCACCCATTTGGGCTATTATCCTGGCCCCTCACTTCAGAGTTCTTTCAATATGTAGATGCTAAAGGGTTGTAGCTGTGAAGGAATAATGGGCGGAGTGGTGGCACACACGGCATTGAGGAAAGTTCTTTAAAATCTTCTAGTTATTTAGGAGTTCTAAATTCCCCTTGACTTGTCTCGATTCATTTGTAGTTACAAACAGAAGTGCTTTGTATTTTTTCCCCCTGAATCCATTCTGTGGGGAAAGGGGGTGATTCTTACTCTTTGACTGAATGTTGTGTTCAGCCTCTCTTCAAGAGGAGAGTGGAACTAAAATCTCCCTTAATTGTTAGGCACACCTTTAAAAAGGGCTGGCATTAGAGTGTAAGGAGATAATAGTATATGATTTGGATATTATACTGTCTTGATGAGTTGATTCTGTCAATAATTTTCTACTTTATTTTTTCCCTGCATTTTTAAAAGAAATACTTTCAAGAATCTTCTTGGTTACCCTTTCATAAATCTACTTGGATGTGCCACTGTTTATTCACATACAGATCAAAATGTAGAATTTTACTTTTTAGCAGTGGTATTGAGGGTTGTCAGAGTAA
This sequence comes from Homo sapiens, assembly GCF_000001405.40. Taxonomy (NCBI): domain Eukaryota; kingdom Metazoa; phylum Chordata; class Mammalia; order Primates; family Hominidae; genus Homo; species Homo sapiens. Next base: position 76,157,604 of record NC_000014.9, read on the forward strand.
TGATCCACATTGTAAGATTATTAAGATGAAGTTGATTGTTAAGCTTAGCTTAGCCTAGTCAATGGTAGCGTTTTTTTTTTCTAAAGCATGTATTAGATGTTTTAGATTTGAAAATGTGTGTCTCAATCAGCTTATTTCTAATTTCCTTAAACTCACTCTTTGCGACCTAAACATGGAGTATAGACTTCATCAATATTTGTTTGCTTTTCTGTTTCTGGTCTTCCTTTAATATTACACCAGCCAATCCCTCACAAGTTTTGAGGAACTAAAAATGGTTATAGTATAGTAGTTTTTTTCTGCTTGCATAGAGATCAAACTATTATTTTAATATTTTTCTGTGTATGTGTGTTTGTGAGTATTCTAAAGCAGAACAACTACTGTAAAATTATTTTCTACTGATCTTTATTTAAATTGTCTGTATAGCAACTATTAATAGCTATTAGCTATTAGGTGACTGTAGCCTAATTTTGCTCTATTCTTTACTAACACATCATTTGTTTGTTCCCCTTGAATATAGTTTAGCTTCTTTTTTTTTTCATAAGTGAATTGGTTGGGTGATGGCCAGAGGTCACATTCAGGAGCCTTCCTAAGGTGATGTATTAGAGGCTGATCTCACAGGAAAGAAAATATTCTCCTCTCTTGGAAGGCAAGTGACAGAGATAGAGTGCTAAACCTACCCACTCCTTCTCCAGCCCAGGCTGACCTTCTGCGGCCCTTTGGTGCCTCTTGTTTTCTTATTTTTATAGAAAATCAATATCCCTTCTGATACAAACAATAGCTCAGAAGCAAGAATAAGTGGGAGAAAGCTGAGATCTCTGTCCATCACCTCTCACTTTAACTCCCCCAAACTCTTTAATTATGAGTGTGCTTTGCTCCAGGTGTTTGTGACAGTGAAATTGCTAAATGAGGACCATTTTAACCAAAGATTGGGTGATCAATAACACTCTATAGCAGTAGCTTGTTGGATCAATAGCATTCATTATTTCATGGTTAAGGTAAGTAGCCTCCTTTGCAAGTGGAGGTCATTAATCAGGGTTTCCTGGAGCTGTGTAAAAGAATATGTATGGTAGGTGGGGGTGTTCTGTTTTCTATTCTGTAAGTAGGGATGCTGACCAAGAATATATTTACCATTGTTGCAGTTGGTAGTATTGCATGTGAGATTCTCGAATAGCTAGCATAGTGTGCTTATGTGGGTATATTCACAGTTCTGCTAGTATCCTTAGGGACAACTAAAACACACAGCTTGGGAGGTCGATATGATACTATTGTACTTGAAGGTCTATCTCTTGAAAGAAACATCCATCTCGTAAAAGAGTCTACCTCTTAAAAGAAATATTGGGATTGTTCTGTGTGGCTCCACAGGACAGAACTCAGGGATAGAGAGTACAGAGTGTTAAATGTTGCTGCGGTTAAAAAATAAGATTCTAAAAATTAGGACTCTGTAAAAATGAAGTGAATTGTTTCACCATGTAATGCGTAATAACTTCTAGATCAGGTGGGGGGATTCAAACATGGGCTTGATGACCGCTTACTTAGTTGCTGTGGAGTTGAGAAGGTTGAACTGAAGGCTTCTGAGATCCCTTGTAACACTGAGATGCTGCGATTCTTTTCAGTCACAGTCTACTTCCCACCATTGTAATGTCTTAACTGGTAAGTAGCCTCAACTGCCCACTTGAATTCTTGTGGTTCCCACTGGCAGTCATCTTCAAAGATTCATTCTTTCTCTCAACTTTTAGAATGATATTCCCTTTTCTCTTATTTCGCAGAATTTGTTCAAAGGCCTCTTGGTATTTGCCAGCAAGGGTGCATAGATTACCCTTGGTCCCCTTCTCTACTCCCGTGGACATAGGTAACTGCCATTCTCAGATCTACAGCTGGCCAAGAGAATATGCAGAGCCCCTAGCCCAGTGCTCCCAGTGCTACTGGGAGGCTTTTATCTCATACAGCTATGCTGGACTGAGATAGGATCATCTAACCCTCACTGCTTGATTCTGACCCCATTCCAGGAGTGTGCCGTAAATGAAGGTGTAGAAAACACTGCAGTCTCCAGAATGTACTGTCTCCAGAATGCACTTCTCTGCCCATGTCAACTGGAATCTTTGTTCTTGAAGACTATACTTTCTAGGACTCAATACCCTATAACTGCTTCCTACCCTCAAACACAAATACACACAGAAAACACTAAGCTTCCCTATCCAAGTGTATTCTGGGAGTTAGAGCCACCAAATAGAAACTGAAAGATACTCAGGCCGGGCGTGGTGGCTCACGCCTGTAATCCCGGCACTTTGGGAGGCCGAGGCAGGTGGATCACAAGGTTAGGAGATCGAGACCATCCTGGCTAACATGGTGAAACCCCGACTCTACTAAAAATACAAAAAAATTAGCCTTGGCGTGGTGGTGGACGCCTGTAGTCCCAGCTACTCAGGAGGCTGAGGCGGGAGAATGGTGTGAACCCGGGAGGCGGAGCTTGCAGTGAGCCGAGATCACACCACTGCACTTGAGTGCACTCGAGCCTGGGCGACAGAGCGAGACTCTGTCTCAAAAAAAAAGAAAAAAGAAACTGAATGATGCTCAATGGGAAGAGAAGGATAGAACCACACCCTGCCTCAACCTGTAGCTGCCTGATTTTCTGACTGAAACTGGCCTTGCATTTCTGAACTGCAAGGTGACTGTAGAGAAAGGATGCAGGGGCTTGCTATCTACCTTCAGGGCAGGCTCAGCACTTCTAACGTGGGCCTCCATTTCATTGTCAAGTGTGGTTCTATCAGCCTTGTAGTTTGAGGAAATCTTGGCAATAGGCCATCTGTATTCTCTATTGCTACAGAAAAAAATCGCCCTAAAACTTAGTAGCTCTAAACAAAGAGACCAAGTCTGTGAGTATGTAAATATTCCCAGGGAAGAAACCAAAGTGCTGGAGAAGAAGATACAACTGAAGAGAAAAAAGTGTTCTTGAGTTGAAAAATTAAGTCTTAAGATTAAAAGCGAAAATTAATGAGAAGAGACTTCTACTGAGACGGAGATTTTAAAAAAATATTTTATTTTAGTTTTTCTTTTTTTCACATATGCTCAAGACTAAGGAAAGAAAAATCTTAAAAGGGGTTGAAGACTGGGTGCAGTGGCTCAGACATTCTTAGATATGCAGGCCCCAGAATCCATGTTCTTTAAAAATTTACTGTGAGAAGACGTTCCATCTACCTGAAGATGAATCACTGTTAGCTCTAAGAAAAGGGAAGTCTTGAAAGGATGGGTGGACTTCTCTGAGGCACAGCCCCCAGCTCAATAGCAGAGTCCTGAGGAAAATTCTGTCTCTGCAAAGTATACCTGATTGTACTAGTCACAGTATCGAACCTGTCAACCTGCGGAGGTTGCTGCCTTTCATGGCACTGTCTGAATGAAACTGAAAAAGAAATTCTTTTATTATATATTCTCATTACTTATAGGAATAATTTCAGAACTGATGTGAGATATTTCTCTGAATAACCTCTCCCTCAGTCTTGTTTACTACTAGATTCAGAAGTCTGATTACAAAGGGTTACCAGTGTGCCACCTCTACCCTGGAAAAAAACTGGAAAACGATAGAACAAAAATACCTTTGGGCAGTAGATCTAAGAGTGACTTTTTTCCACGTTTTTCTAAATTCTGAAACAACTTTTATTTTTGTTAAGTGCATTATTATTTACTAAGAAAAGTTTTTTAGAATGACGATGTAAGCCATAAACTTTAAGATATCTATTAATTAGATGCAAAAAACACCTCTTATTAAGCTACTTGGTTAATAAGCTCTTAAATGGGGAGAAACAAACCCAGATGGTAATTTATTAATACCAACTTTTGATTGTAGGTGATAAAGTAATTCTGTACCTCCTTATTATAATTGGAACAGGTATAAGTTACTCTTTCAGTTCTCACTTTACAGTCTTCTGTGGTTAGGAGTATGAAAGAATTAGCAAGCTCTCAGATCAGAGGGTGTGCTGTGCTTTTTTCCCACCCCCTGCTCCCCCTGGCAATTTTGGGAATTCAGAGGGGTTTATTTTGTTGAAACTAGAAGCTACTGTTTAGGAAGAAGGGAATTAATTTCAACAAAGAGTTTATAAAGATTCTGTATTATCTGTTGCTGCAGAAAAAATTGCCCTAAAACTTACTAGCTCTAGGACGGGTGCGGTGGCTCATGCCTGTAATCCTAGCACTTTGGGAGGCCTAGGCGGGTGGATCACCTAAGATCAGGAGTTTGAGACCAGCCTGACCAATGTGGTGAAACCTTGTTTCTACTAAAAATATGAAAATTAGCCAGGCGTGGTAGCACAGGCCTGTAATCCTAGCTACTTGGGAGGCTGAGACAGGAGAATTGCCTGAACCTGGGAGGCAGAGGTTGCAGTGAGCCGAGATCGCGTCACTGCACTCCAGCCTGGGTGACAGAGCGAGACTCCGTCTCAAAAAAAATAAACAAAAAAAAACTTATGAGCTCTAAACAATGAATACTTTATCGCTTGGAATCTGAGAGTGACTTAGCTGGATGGTTCTGGTTCAGTCTTCTCACGAGGTTATAGTCTAACTGTTGGCAGGGACCTCAGTTCTCTCAAGGCTCGACTAGGGCTGAAGGATTTGCTTCCAAGCTCACTCACATGGCTGTTGGCAGAGCTCATTTCCTCATAAAGCTATTGGACTTAGAGTCTCAGTCCCTTTTCACATGGGCCTCTCCGCATGCCCATCCGCATCTGTAGGACATGGTAGTTGGCTTTCCGTTGAGTAAGTGATCTGAGAGGGGTGGGGAGAGTCAGAAAGAGGGCCCAAGATGAAAGCCACAGTCTCGTATAACCTAATTGCAGAAGTGGCAACCTATTGCTTCTGCCGTGTGCGATCAGTTATACAGACCATCCTGGTGCAGTGTGAGAAGTACTACACCGGGGTGTGCATTAATAGGAGGCTGGGTAATTGGGAGTCATCTTGGGAGTCTGGTTAATTACCACAGATGACTACTGGCTTTCTGAAACTTTTTTTTCCTAGCCTTGTATGATGCTAAAGTCAGGAATAGTATTCTCAGACTGATATTTCCCCTGAACTCATTAAGAGGATGTTTTTACTTTGATTTCAAAGGAAGATCATTCAGGAACCATAAGGGCAAGTGAGGTATGGGTCCCTGAGAGTATATTTTGGTGTATTTTATGTCAGTATGCTGAAAATGAGTGTTACTTAAATTCAAGATACAGCATTAAGGAGGAGAGCTTCTTTCCAAAGTGAGTTTATAATTAGTTTTCTTAGGGTTCAGCATATATGATATATTATTTGCTGATAAGGGATAGTAGTCAAGGCACAGCTACAGTTTCAGCTGTGCCTGAAAGTTTTAAGTAGCTAAAAGCAAAGGAACACTTCTTCCCTAGCTCAATTAATCTGTTTGCATCTTCAGGAGAATGAACAGTCCTGAAATTCAAAGGTATCTTCTGCATAGAGAAACATAGGATTGACTTTAGTAAATGAGATGAGTATCTGCACCATCTGTGTTGTAGTGGCCCTTCAGTGAACGCATGGGCTTTAGGCATACACTACCCTGGCTCTGATGCTTACTTGCTGTGTGATCTTGGGTAACTTGCATACTTTCTCTAAGCCCCTTTCCATTTGTAACATGAGGTTGATGTATTCACCTTGTGGAGTTTGGGGGTAGAAGCAGCATAATAATTAATATAAAGTGCTTAGTATATTACCTGGCCTGCAGTAGAACTCAGTGAGTGATATTTTTGGTATCATTAATAATAGCCTTCTGTATTAATAATTTTCTGAATAAACTCAGTTCAAGTATCAAACCCCTTCCTGAGGCACTTGTAGATCTTGGCTGAGAGTAGTGCCTCCTCTCTTTTGGATGAATCCCAGTACAGGAAAAATAATAGATTTCATAGGCCACATTTTGTTTTTCCATTTAAAATGAAGATAGGTTTGCATCTTATAAAATTTAGAGTGCTGTTCTAATGAGAAGGTTGTCAGTGAGGAAATTAGTACTATTAACCTCTAAAATAATATTTAGACACAGACTTGGTACCCTAGAAGTAGCTTTCTAATCTTTCATCATTTGCATTTGTGTATTGCTTTAGAGTTCACAAAGCGGGGTCACATGCCTCATACTATCACATCCTCAATAATCCATCCACATTTTACATGTAGGGAAACAGAACTAAAGAGTTGAAGTGACATGCCGCAAGGCCATATAAGGGCAGGCAACAGAGGTGTCTAGAACAAGTTCATTCTATTTACGTAACATTCACTGAATGTCTGATATGTGCCAGGTGCTATGTTAGGCACTGGGGACATTGAGATGAGCAAGATATTTTTTTTCCCTGGCCAGATCATTCTCTTCCATGGTTACTGGATCTTCTTTCTGCCCCGGTTAGGCAAGGAAGGGTGAACTGTACGACTCTTGAGTAGTTTCAGTTCTACCAGTTTGTCTGAAGGTCCGGCTGCCTTCTGATTGTTTCTGGATCTGGAGGCTTCAGATCATTTGAGGCCCTGGCCCAGCCCTGGCAAGGAAGTGGTATTGTTGCTTCTATGGGATGTTGACTGCTGCATCCAGCTAACGTGCACAGGCTCCTCTCTTCTCAAGTAGTTTCCCTAAATGGGACGCCCTACCTCTCCCAGCCCTCTGCTTTGTTCATCACCATAGATCAGGGTTCTCAACTTAGGCACTACTGGCATTTTGGGCCAGATAATTCTCTGTTGTGGGGCTGTGCTGTGCATTGCAGGATGCTGAGCAGCATCCCTGGCCTCCACTCACTAAATATCAGTAGTTCACCAACTCCTCCTTCTCTGCTTCAAATCATGAGTATCAAAAATGTTTTTGGATATTGCCAAATTGGGACGGGGGCTGCAAAATTGTGTCTAGTTGAGAACCGTAGTTCTTGATGTTTCTGGTACTGAGATTGGGTCTTTACTTTATTGACTCTGCTTTTACCAGTAAGTATGAGTTTCAAATTACAGAACATAATACAACCAAAACACTGATCTATAGATAGAATATACAAATATAAAAAAAAGAATATAGAATAAAAAACTATTGATCTATAGTTTTAAAACTGAGAATTTTTGCTAGTTTGAAAACCATACCCTTTAATTGTACCTTGAAAGGCAAACAGTTCATCTTCAGAACTTGGAAAGAAAAGCAGTTGAGATGAAAGCATTTTCAAGTCAGTACCAAGTTTACAGCGTTTAGCTAACAGTGGACAAGAGGGTTCCATAGTCTTTTATTAGGCTTGATTCCTATGATAATATACTTGTCAGAAAGTAGATGCCATGTCCAATCATCTGGCTTACCTAGGGTGCCTCTGCTTTCAAAGAGGCTCTGGTGGGAAGGTTAGATAGAGAGATGTGAAAAAACAAGGAAAGCAAAATGTTACTTGCAGAATCTAAGTGATGAAGAATTTCCTAGTAAAATGTTGGGAGCAAAAGCCTTTGGAGCTGCAGGTTAAGATGACTTTCTTTACACTAACTCTGTTGTTTCAGTTGGATGTGGTTCAGTTGCCTTTCTAGCAATGTTATAATAATTAGGTAATACAGTTGGAGGCCCAACTTATACTAAGCACATAAGAGAATAAAATGAAAGAATCTATAAAGAAATAGGGTTTGGGCTGGGTGCGGTGGCTCATGCCTGTAATCTCAGCACTTTGGGAGGCCATGGTGGGCGGATCATGAGGTCAGGAGTTCGAGACCAGCCTGACCAACATGGTGAAACCCTGTTTCTACTAAAAATACAAAAATTAGCTGGGTGTGGTGGTGCGCGCCTGTAATCCCAGCTACTTGGGAGGCTGAGGTAGGAGAATTGCTTGAACCTGGGTGGTGGAGGTTATAGTGAGCCGAGATCGCACCACAGCACTCCAGCCTGGGCAATGAGCGAAACTCCATCTCAAAAAAAAAAAAAAAGAAGAAATAGGGTTTGTTCCATTATGGCACATGTATACCTGTGTAACAAACCTGCACATTCTGTGCATGTATCCCAGAACTTAAAAAAAAAAAAGAAATAGGATTTGTTTGTTGACTATTTCTGTGACAGATCTTTTGCATCTGGTATTCAGAGACAAGCTTGAGTGAGGAAAGCATTGCTCCTTAATTTAATTGGCATTTTTAAGATTTAGTGTTGGAAGGACATTTGGAAATGTTGCAAAATACAAAATATTTTCAGATTTTTGATCCAGGAATATAGATTGGGATTTTGCCAAGCCTGTGTTTTCTACAGCATGGTGAAAATGCTTCTTCCTTGCTTTGGTTTCTTGCATCTTCTAGAGTAGGTGAAAAAAAAATTTTTGACTCTCTTGGAAGGAAATAATCCCAATCAAAGAAATAGCTAATACTGTAGAGGATTGAGAAGTTTTTCTTGAACCAGATAAATCAAATTTAGAAGCACACCATGAGAAGAAACAAAATCAACTGTGAGCAATAGCTCAGAAAATGAAACTGGGCAGAATTTCGTGGGACAAAAGTTATATTTCAATGAGTTCAAATTAAGTTTGTTTTTATATTTTTGTTTTTAACTTTAGTTCCTTTTTTCAGAATGAGTTTTGTGTATCTGCTCGATATGAAGGAGGACAGTAAATTCAGAAAACATAAGTTTTGTCATATTTTTTTCTTGTTCATGGATTTTTGTTTACTTCTTTGTAGATGGGGGAAAACTTGAAAGATGCTAGATGTCTTAAAATTACATAGCTTCATTTGAAACTGATAGTTGGCAATATTTGAGAATAAAATTGTTTGGTAAATTTGTAAATTTGTGTTGTTGAATATACCAAACTAGGTTGAGATTACGTCTTTGAGCTTTAATAGCTTTCTAGTCCTAAACTAACAAAGTGACTTTAGATTTTTTTAGTACTTTAAAATATAAGTGAAAATTTTAGAATTCTCCTCTTATATTTCTTTTGTTTGGGGAGGAAAATAAAACTTTGTAGCTTCCTGATGAAATTTACATATCTGATTGACTAACAGGTTGGAGTGAAATTAGGGAAGCTTGAAAACCAAAATAAGTGTACAGTGCTTTGTTTTTGACTGGAGCTGATGAGTTCTCTTGTGTTTTACTCTTTTTACAGTGAAACCAGCAGTGTGTGTAGCAGCAGTGACACTGGGCTCTTTACCAATGATGAAGGGCGACAAGGTAATGTCGATCCCAGCTTTGGGACCTTGGTTCCGTGTTTATGGAAATATTTGAATAATCATAGGAGTGACTCATGGAGAATATGGTGACTGTCTATGGCAGTGGTTCTCAAACTTTAAGGCATATGAGAGTCACCTAGGGAACTGTTAAAACTGCACAGTCCTGAGCTCCTAGAAATCAAATAGGTCTAGAGTTGGCCCCTGGAATCTGCATTTTTCACAAGCACCTGAAGTGATTCTTATGCCAGTAGATCAGACTTGGGAATCATTGGTCTAGGTGGTCAGAGTGTTGAGCCTGGGACATTGGGAAGTTTCTTTTTATTAGAATAAAGAAATAGGTTCATGTGTTACTGTCTTTTTTTAGGTGTTAAGACATTATTTTCATATAGAGAAAATCTTGTCACTTTTGTAGCCTTATTTATAAATGATTATAGTGTCCTAGGTGAATATATTATATAAAACATCATCTTCCTCAAAGTAAAACTGGAGTATAGAGTCCTGTGAATAAGGCTGGTATAGTTAATTACCAGTTCTTTATTTTTACTACCTAAACACTAATTTAAAACTTTGCCTATATATAAGGGTATTTTAGAAAATGTTTGTCCTCTAGACTTGTGTGGGGCCACATGCCAATAAAAATTTTATGTAGCCTTTTTGGACTGTGGTTTTCTTAATCTAAATAAGGGATTTAGGGATTTCTAAAGTCTCTTCTCACTCCGAAGTCCAATAATTTTTCTCCACGGGTTAAGCAATTAAAGGACAGACGTAGTGGCTACATGTCTAGGTTGATCCAAGTAGGCTCCCCAGTAACTGAAGAGATACTGGGGCTGTGAGACTTAGCATCCAAGTCCTGATTTTTGGAGAAGGACTGTGGGGCCAGCATCTTGTTCATGCCTCGAAGTTGTAGGCATAGAGGCAGTTTATCCTCCTGGAGTTGTTGAGCTTCCTACTGTAATGGAGGTTGTTGTGAGTACATTTCTATCTTTTAGATTCTGAGGGAATTAGGTGTCATTAGAGATTATGTGTGTGTGTGTACAGGTAGGCTGTAACTAGAGTTTTGATTTTATTATACCAGGAAAGTCTGATGAGTTTCCATGAATGAGTTATATATACTATTCAGAGTTACCAATATTTGCTCTTTTTCTTTGCTTTTCTACAGTGCTAAGAATATCAAAATGCACCTCTTAAAGGCTATGATGCATAAGTATAGAGATGGAAGAAAGTGTGGACCTGTTACAGCAGATTAGATTTTCGGGCCTTTGGAAAGCCTTTTCACTGATAAGGATTCCTTAGTTTATCACGAGAGATTATAGAATGTTCTGTACACCTAGCTTTCCTCTCTTTCTCTGCTTCAGCTTCACACATTCTGGTGACATTGATGCTTAGCGTTCTCAACGTAAAGCTATGGGATTTCTTGCTTCTCTGCCTTTGTTTATGCTGGTCTTTCTGCCTGAAATCTCATCCTCATCTTCCTTGAATGACTGGTCATCTACCAAGACACAGTTTTCCTCTTGCCCCTGCAAGGGCATATTTATGAACTATATCAGTGGGTCTTCTTGGTTTCAATTTCTTGTTGGGGTTGGCCTATAGGAGGCATCAACAGAAGACCAAAGGGAGGGAGGTGAGTGATATTGGATATATTAGTCAAGTATTTATTGTGGTAATGCTGCTTAACAGCCCCCAAATTTTAGTGGCTTCTCACAGTTTACCATACTCATTTCTTGCTATGGGGCTGTGAGTTGTCTGTGGTTCCACTGATCTTGCCTGGGCTCCACTGGTCTACAGGCTTCAAGTTAGGTTTACATCTACTCAGTGTATTGTATTTTGGGACCTAGGGTGGAGGAGCAATGATGATAGGCGGCATGGACTTCCTATGGCAGAGGATGTAAATGCCAGGTGACCAGGCTAGACCACAAGTACATATTTAAAGCCTTTGCTTGAATCATATCTGTTAATTTTCTACTACGTAAAGCAAGTCATATGACCAAGCCCAGAGTCAGTAGGATGAGTAAGTGTGCTCTTCCTAAAAGGGAAGGTACTGTGGAATCCAATGGCAAAGAGCAAACGTCATGGATGGATGATTCTGCTATAGAGAGTACTTGGAAATGCTAATGCAGTCTACCACATTAGATTATTGCTTTCCCTGACACCTTTTCTGTTGGATTGCTGGTTGGCAGTGGTTGTGTTCCTCTGCTGAGGGCCACCACTCTTGTTTGGCAGCCTTCTTTTATAACCACAGTTCTTTGGGTTCTGATAACCATTCTTTCCCTTGCCACTCCAAGTCTAGGAATGGTAAGGGCCTCCTGCTGTGCTGGCTCCACCTGATGTGCTTCACTATCCCCTTGTGGGGTTCCTTGTTAGTACTGTCTCCACCTTTGTGAATAGTCACTTCATTACATCTCTGCAATGACCCCATTTAAATGTGCCATGTGTTTGCTGAGGGGGTTCTGGCCAATAGCCCTTTCTCCTTTGTTCTCTGTGGCTCCTTGTATTATACTTACTGTTTCTTTTACTACTCACTAGATTATGTTATTGTTTGTAGGTACGAGTCTTTTCCCTTGAGGCTTTTCAAGGCAGGACTTATTATGTGCAACCACAGTACCTAGCATGTTCCTGGCATATAGTAAATGTTTAATAAATAATTATTTATAATCCAATTAAGGGGAAAACTCTCCTTTTTTTCCCCCAAACAAAATCGAACATAGATTCTCAGATTGTAAAACAACTAAGCCTATTTGGTTTAAAGCAAAATTCTAGAGGAGCCAGAGGTCAGGAGCCCGATCCACCTAGCTTCTTGCTTATTCCCTGGCAGCGCTCTTTTAAGGAGCTCCTCTATCAGGCATCTTAGTGAACCCTGATTGAAGACTGCTGGTCTATGTGGTCTCACAACGTTCCTTCTAGTTCAGGGAGTCCCTTTTTGTATTATTAAAAATCTTGAATGACTGCTTGAGAACCAAAAAAATTCCATTATAGTTTGCCATTTGTCGTCAGAAAACATGGCCTAATTAAATATACTATTTCAATAAATGGCCTAAGGAATGCTTATGAATAAGAAAAGAATTAATATATTGAAGTACAGAGAAACTAGTTATTATACACTAATGCCTGTATTCAGTTCATCTATGTATCTGGTTTCGTGAGATGCTTTTAGAGTAGCGGTTCTCAAAACGTGGTCCCCAGGCCAGCTTGGCATCATGAGGGAACTTGTTAGAAATACACATTTTTGGTCTTGCCCAGACTAGAATCAGAAACTCTGGAGTAAGGGCTCAGCAGTCCATGTTTTAACAAGCCCTCCTGCTGCTTCAGATGCATGCTCAAAGTTGAGAACTACTGTAAGAGAGACAGCTGTTTGTGGTGTGTTTTTATAAGGGAACACTTTGAGTAACTTTCTTAGTTGTAATATCTCCTGCTTTTCACCAGAATGCAGTTTTCATTGCCCATTTTGGAGATCTCCACAGTGATTTAAGAGTTATTATCCTGCGTGTTAATGACCCATGAATCTCATACTTCATGGGATTGACATTTCTGAGCAACTTGTCTGGAATCCAGTGTACATTAGAGACTGACTACATTATGAACTCTTTAGATATTCTTGTAATAATTTCCTTCAATTTTGCTATTTTGCAAGGGGTATGTGGTGGCAGACATACAATTATCTATTCTTTGTTGGCAGGAATAAACTCTAGTGGAAACTGAGATACTATCACTATAGCCAGTAGAAAGAAGTTTGTACTACCAACAGTCTGGATATATGGATCTGGTTGTGACTTTGCTGTTAATTAACAAATGGCCTTGGGAAAATGGTATAACTTATTGAAAAGCCTTAGGGGATTATGTTATTTGTTGCTGTGGTTATTTTTTTTTTCCGCAGTAGCTTGGATTTCTAGTGTCAAGATGATTTCTGTCCCATTAATGAGATACCAACGATAAATGAAGTATGGACATATATTCTTTATTCACCTTTTATGATAAAGGCAAATATAGCAAGAAATCCCTCAGGTATAGCTAGCTTTGAATTGAGAAACATTTATGGGTTTTGAACCTCCAAGTTTATACCACTGAGAATGGTATAGGGGAGGCAGTTTGTTTTTGTAATAAAGATCTCAGGCTTTTGAGTTAGTCAGGCTTTGGGTTCAGATCCTGGCTTCATTGTTTACTAAATTGACCTTGACTTCTCTAGGCTTTAGTTGCCTTGTTTGTAAGTTGGAGTTAGTGTAGGGCTTGGAAGAGATGACATATTTACAGATTTTTAGCATGGATCCTGGTAGGTTGTAAGGGTTTAGTGAGTGGTAGCTTTATTTATTTATTTTTAGCTATTAAAGCGGTCCAGTCTAACACAGTATGACATTTATGTGAAACCAGGTTGGTGTTCCAGTTTTCATTGTAAAATGAATCAAGAAGGACCAGAACAATGCCTTGATTTATTTAAAAGTATAATCAGCCTGTAATTCCAGCACTTTGAGAGGCTGAGGTGGGTGGGAGGATTGCTTGAGCCCAGGAGTTCAAGAGCAGCCTGGGCAACATAAGGAGACCCAGTTTCTACAGAGAATTAAAAAAAAAAAAAAAGACTGGGCGCGGTGGCTCACGCCTGTAATCCCAGCACTTTGGGAGGCCGAGGCGGGTGGATCAGTTGAGGTCAGGAGTCCAAGACCAGCGTGGCCAACATGGCAAAACCCCGTCTCTACTAAAAAAATACAAAAATTAGCCAGGCATGGTGGCGGGCGCTTGTAATGCCAGCTACTCAGGAGGCTGAGTCAGAGAGAATTGCTTGAACCCGGGAGGGGAGGCGGAGGTTACAGTGAACCAAGATCACGCCACTGCACTCCAGCCTAGGCAACAGAACAAGAATCCATCCCCAAAAAAATAAAAAAATAGCCAGGCATAGTGGCATGAGCCTGTGGTTCCAGCCACTTGGGAGGCTGAGATGGGAGGATTGCCTGAACATGTGATTACGCCACTGCATTCCAGCCTGGGTGACAGAGCAAGACTCTGTCTCAAAAAGGAAAAAAAAAAAAAAGGATGATCAAAACTATGGCACTAAGAAATCATCCCTCCCATTTGTTTTTCTCAGACCTTGTTTAAAATTCTAGCTTATGATATGATGTCTTTACTTTAGGTGATGACGAACAGAGTGATTGGTTCTATGAAGGAGAATGTGTCCCAGGATTCACTGTCCCTAATCTTCTGCCCAAGTGGGCTCCTGATCATTGTTCTGAAGTAGAAAGAATGGATTCTGGATTGGATAAATTTTCAGATTCCACATTCCTTTTACCTTCTCGGCCAGCTCAAAGAGGTGAGTTCTGAGGAGACCAAGAACTTAATGCTTTTATGGTTCTCCTTGGGCAGAGCAATCACCCCCTAGCAAGCATACTCATGCCTTCAATCACACATTAACTATCTGAATTTTGGAGCTAGCTCAAGGATTTTCTAGAGGAGTCAAAGTAAGTCTCAAAGCTTAAGGTTCTCTCCATTCCTTCCTAAACTAATCCATGGAAACTCCTGGGACATATATATTATCAGGAGATTCCTTCAGCTTGCCATTGCCGTTTGTGCCAGATTTAGTGACAGCTGCTTATCCTGATGTGAAACTAAGAGGTTATTGAGTATCGGATTTTGGAAGAGAACAGATTTCAATAAGAACATTCACATACATATTCTTATTTTCAGTAAGAGTATTCACATATAATGGTGTTTTTAAAACGGATGCTTTTAAAATAATTTAAGTAGTTTTATTTTAATGACCCTATTGGGACTTTAACACAAATATGTTTCCTTTTCCCTTTGCTTTTTCTTCAATTATGATGTAGCAAAGTGGGTGGAAAGAACCTAGGACAGAGAGATGGAAATGTGGTGCTAATACTCTGATACTGTCTACCAAGCTCTGTGATAGTCACTGCATTTTCCTGGGATGACAGGGTCATCACTTACGATATGTGACATTGGACAAAACCATTTCTTTTAGCACTATAAATTTATGATTCTAGGGTTCCCAGTAACCCATAATCAACCAGTTAATCAGTTGCCAAGAGTTTGTTGAACATCTGTGGGTGATCAGAATCACACTACGAGATGTAAACTTGTATTATGTAGGATTTTGTCATGGTGAATTTTTGTTTGTCATGGTGAATTTTTGTCATGGCGAACCAGCAGTTGGTGCTTGGTAAAGACTAGCTGAGGCACACATTGCTTTATTGAACATTTTGATGAACATTTCTAAAAGTTTCTAATGGACCACTTAAAATATATACAAACAAGCAAGAATAGTGAGAAGAAACTTAAAATGGCCTATAATCTCATATCCAGAGACAATCTCATTAATAACATTTTGGTGTGGTTTCCTCCAGTTGTTCTTTCCTTGTGTAGAACACATGCAGCAGTGAGAAAAATTGGGTTATCCGACACGTGCTATTTTCCCCATTATGTCATGAATTAGAATGTTTTTGACGTACAAACTAACATTTAATTTTAAATTAAAAATTATTAATAGTACCTTATGTTTGTGTGGTGTTTTCAGTTTATAAAGTCCCTTCTGCTTGCTATTTCATTGGGTCTTCAAAACAGCCCAGTAAGGTAGGACTGAGTGATTATCCCTCTTTTATAGATGGAGGATGCCTAGGTCAAAGGTAAATGGCATGCCTGTGATCATACTGCTAGTGACAAAGACCTGGGAATAATAAATCCTTGGCAAATAGCTCTGTGATGCTAGTTTAAAGGTCAATCTATTAAGATCCTGGGGGTAAAGCCTTCAGTGTACTAGAAACATAGGATTGCATATGGATTTTCTGCATTCGGTATCTGAGGCCTTCCTTCTTTTTTTAGGGTACCATACTCGCTTGAATCGTCTACCTGGAGCTGCAGCTCGATGCCTCAGAAAGGGGCGAAGAAGGCTGGTTGGGAAGGTGATACCTCTCACAGTTAGCTTGGCTCAGTGGGGAGATAATATTCCCTATGGGAGTTGTGTATCCTATTAACAATCAGAGGTGCTACAGAACTCCCTGAAGTTAATGGAGCCAACTGGAATGTGTTGGGAGTTTACAAGAGTGAACATTATGTAGAATGTGAATGGATATACAAATAAAAGATGAAACGTAATTCATATAGAAGTACTGACAAAAAAAAAAAACACTGTCATTACAGTGTCTATTGCCTGTAAACCTACAAGCCTGAGCTGTGTCTTCTGTAACTTTTGATTAATGTTATGTTATTATTGTGTAAGTTAAAATACTCTTGGCTTCTTTATGACTCCTCTTGAATTCATGAATGCATCTTTGTTCTTTCCTAATTTTGGTCTTTCATCCTAGAATTCATTAAAAAAAAAAAACAAAACTGTTACTGAGTTTCAAGAGCCCCTCCTTGGCCATGAGGGAGAACTATCTGCTGTTTATTCAGTTCTGCCTTTGCCAGGGATGGTACTAGGGACTCAGCTCATTTAATCCTTCCAGCAACCTACAAGGGCAAGCACCTTCAGCAGATGAGGAAAACTTAGGTTCGAAGAAGTTAAGGAATGTCTGATGTTACCCAGATAGGAATGGTAGAATAGAGATTTGAACCCAGGTCTACTTTTATCTTTTTACATTTTTATTGAATTTTATTTTTTACTCTACTTTGAGATTGAGGAATAAATTAAGACAGGGCTCATCCTCAGTCAGAGAAGATGGTGGTGGGCAAAGAATAAGGAAGGGAGAGGCATTGAGAGCATTAATTTGTTTGTTCACTTGGTAAGCATTTAGAATGCCTGCTAGGTGGCACAATATGTGCCACAGTCTGGCTTCCCTTAAGGGGATACTGTTTTATAGTCTGACCAGGGAACAGTTTTCTGAAGTTTTAAGCATGCAAAAGAAATGAGACTGTTTATTTCCAGACGAGCCCAAGATTCTTATTTCTTTTTATCTTTAAATTCAAGTTCAAATCTTTTTTTTTTTTTTGAGATGGAATCTCGCTCTGTGACCTAGGCTGGAATGCAATGGTGCGATCTCGGCTCACTGTAACTTCCTGCCTTCCAGGTTCAAGCAATTCTCCTGCCTCAGCCTCCCAAGTAGCTGGGATTACAGGCGCCCCACCATGCCTGGCTAATTTTTTTGTATTTTTAGTACAGATGGGGTTTTACCATGTTGGCTAGGCTGGTCTCAAACCCCTGACCTCAGGTGATCCACCCGCCTCGGCCTCCCAAAGTTCTGGGATTACAGGCATGAGCCACCGTGCCCGGCCTCAAGTTCAAATCTTGAATTAGAAGACATTTGATTATTGGAAAACTGATACCTTTCAAATTACTCATTTTACAGACAAAACGCTGCTTTTTCTGTTTTGGGAGCTTATTGTTAACAGGGATAGCTAGCAGAATAGCAGTACATGGGGTGGAAGAAGGAGAGGTTTTACTTTTATTGTTTAGGCTTGACAGATAATGTTCCCCCTGCCACCTGTGTTACTTTCTTTCAGCTCTTATAAAATAAGAGCCATCCACTTCCATGGAAACAAGTCACTTTATCTTGAAGGTTTCCCTTTAGCTTGCCTGGAAGGGAGTGAGGGCCTGTTGGATGTGCCTTTAATGATTTCAAATGAATAGGATAATATTTACTTGTTTAATTCATCTTCATCACCTTAAAGGGATATTTATCATTTCTAGAAGAGGTCACCGCTCTGCCCCCCTTCTTCCCCCTCCCCCATCTCTCTTCTGCTTTTCTAAATTGTAATCATAAATAATGAGTTTCATTCACAGCTCCCTGCCAGTGAGCTGCTAATTACACAAAGTACTGCTTGTAATTTACACAGTAATAAACTGTAAATTTAAACATTACGGCACTTTAAGTTAATAATTTTTCTGCTGTAACAAATAGCTCATTTTTCACCCATCTTTTCCCTTGGCCCCCCTACCATGTCTGTCTGTGACCAGGAGGCATAGCTATAAGAAATGCAGAACATGAAGAATATAGTATATGAAAACTTCTCATTTAACTCCACTACCGCCCGGACTCTGACCTCAGAGTAATTTTTCTACAGCCAGTTCTGCTGAAATGTGTAGCCTGATGTTTAGCACGGTCCACACACATAGATGAATATAGACACAAATGTGTTTGAAGAACAGCCTTGATGTTCTTGGCATTCACGCCCGTGACTTGTGTTCTCTCAACACAACAGTTACTCAGATGTGTGTTGGTATGCTTTCCCAGGTGCCATGGTAGGTAAGCATTGTGAATGTACTCAAGTTAAATGAAGAGTGAATTGCCGTTTTCCAATTTTTTGGAAATGGTTCGTTTCTGAACTCTTTGTGGTGTTATGGGTAAGCTTTTACACTATAATCTTGAGAACCCTGAATTTAGGAATCAATTTTATACAAATTTCTATTTTTATTTCATGAGATGATGTTTGAGGGACAAAGTACAGAGTAACAATTTTTGCAAGTCACAAAATTCTCTTGATGTATTTATATTTAGTCAGCAGATATTTACATTTTACCAGTGAGGATTTGGTAATGTCCCAGGATGAAGGCTGTTGGAACTATAATCAAATCACGTAGCTCTCTAGGAAGCTTGGTGTGTTGGCCTGTTAAAAATTGGCTACTGTTGAATTTTCTAAAAAAGGATTTTTACTCCTATATACTTCAGTAGTTACAGGAGGTATAGTACTTATTAAAATACCATATATGGTGAACAGTGTCTATGATGTATTTATAAAGACTTTTGGATCACTGGAGAATAATAAATGTAGGGTAACATGTAATACTTTTAAGATGGATTCCAATAAAAAGAAGTATAGTTGCTGTTTTATTTTAAGATTGACTTTTAACATGTGCCTTTTGAGGTTGCCTTAGCTGGCACAGTTATGGGAAAGATTGATATTGTACTTTATATGTTTGTTTCTGTGGTTGGATGATACTCTTGTCTGCCTTTTCTTTTTAGGAGACCAGCATAAACACTTTGGGGACTGAGAGGATAAGCCATATCATTAGTGACCCTCGGCAGAAAGAGTAAGTGCTTATGTATTTACTGGCTGTGCTAGTCTGCTCCTTGGAGGAGGAGGCAGAGGGGAGTTTTATGGAGCAACTTAGAAATCAGGCTTCAGAGTTCAAAGAGATCTTAAAGATTTGTACGTTGTAACAGTTAAATATGGCAACATCCTAAACCTGTGGCAGTGATTTTCTTTTCCTTTCTAGACTAGTTTCACTGTATTGTTTTTTTATACCTACAGATGCTGCATTAGTAGCCTCCAGTAAAGATGTTTATTTTAAACTAATTTTTCTGTCCCTAAATTTTTTTTTTTCCAAAATGGATGATTGCCTCTATCCTCCTATATTCTCTTCCCATTTTTAGACCTTTTCATAGGGAAATATCTGTTTTTTTGAGACAGGGTCTGGCTCTGACGCCCAGGCTGGAGTGCAGTGGCAGAGTCATGGCTCACTGCAACCTCTGCCTCCTAGGCTCAAGCAATCCTCCCACTTTGGCCTCTTGAGTAGTTGGGACTACAGGCGCATGCTGCTGCGCCTGTCTAATTTTTGTATTTTTTGTAGAGACAGAGTTTAGCCATGTTGTTCAGGCTGGTCTTGAACTCCTGGGCTCAAGCGATTTGCACACCTTGGCCTCCTAAAGTGTTGGGATTACAGGTGTGA
Source organism: Homo sapiens (assembly GCF_000001405.40). Lineage (NCBI taxonomy): Eukaryota > Metazoa > Chordata > Mammalia > Primates > Hominidae > Homo > Homo sapiens. The sequence goes on from NC_000014.9 coordinate 76,177,330, forward strand.
GCCGCTGCGCCCAACCTGTGAAATATCTTTTTGTTCTAATTACTGTGGTGAGTGCTGTAGGAAGCCTGTATGTAGCTACAGGAAAATAATTCTGCCAATTCTTGTGACAGCCTTGTCCCCTAAAATGGTTGGTTCTTTCATATATCTTGTATGCATCATGGTCAGTACCCAGTTATGATCCTATACACATCCAACTCGGGCTAATTTTACATAGAAAATAAAGATGTGGGTGTGGTTTATGCCCTTCATGAGTTGAGACTCTTGTCACTGCACAGCTGAGAGATCATTGGTGTCACAGTGTAATCTTGGGTTTATTTCTGTTGTTCAGTCTTTTACATTCCATTACAAGCCTTTTTCCTTTGAAGAGGTTTTTTTTTGTTTTTGTTTTTGCAAAACATTCACATACATTTAATCTCTTTCTCCTCCTCTGATTACATCTTTTCTCTATTCCCTTCTTTGTCTTTACTTAATTATTCCAACATCTTATCTTCTTCTCCCTTCTGTAATTTTCCTATCACTTCTTTTATTGTTTTCTTTCCTGTTATTCTCTCCCTCTCTTTAGTTTCTGGTTACCATCAGCTGGGAAAAGAGAACGAAATCAGGTAAGATCATTTTTCTTTGTCATCTTTATTTTATCATTTGGTTTCCTTTTCTTTAGAAAGAATAAAGCGTTGGCTTCTGATTTTCCTCACATTTCTGCTTGTGCACATGAGGTAAGGTTTCCTCTTTCTTGTTATTTTGATTTTCTTGGAGAACCGTTTTCTAAGAGTATCCAACACTTACTGGTAAAAACTGCAGCTAATTCCTCTTTGTAGGTTCAACTGTGATCATTAGTTTCTTGTAGCATATATTTCATAGGAATCCTGTTTTTATTTTAGTTTTGAACTTTGCAGTAAGAAAGCAGAATGAATCTGATTTGCATATGGTTTAGTTCAACATCAGAATCCTGCGTTGAGAAGTACTATGTTGAAGCCTAAACGTATGGAGCAGAAGGTAGAGCTGCTTTGGGTGAAGTGGGGTCAAAGCCTTAGAGCAGTGGTCCCCAACCTTATGTCACCAGGAACCATTTTTGTAGAAGACAGTTTTTCCATGGACCCGGGTTGGGGGCGTGGTGAGGGGGGTGGTTTTGGGATGATTCAAATGCATTACATTTATTGTGTACTTTATTTCTGTTGTTATTACATTGTAATATATAATGAAATAATTATACAACTGGTCATAATGTAGCTTGTGCTCCTGCAACTACACAGTCCCACCTGGGGGTGATGGGAAACAATGACAGATCATCAGGCATTAGGCTTTCATAAGGTGTGCACAACCTAGGTCCCTCTCATGCTCGGTTCACAGTAGGGTTTGCACTCCTATAAGAATCTAATGTGGCTGTTGATCTGACAGGAGGTAGAGCTCAGGCGGTAATGCCCACGATGGGGAGCAGCTGCTTGCTGACAGCTCACCTCCTGCTGTGCGGCCCCGGGGTTGGGGACCCCTGCCTTAGAGCCTCTCCTTCTTAGTCTTTTCCCTGGCTACCCCCTGAGGGGCCCCTTGGCATATTTAGGCCCATGTGGAGGGCTCACAATTTAAAAATTAACTCACAGTGGTTATCGATATGTTTCTTTATGTGTGAAGCTTTGTGATTTTTTTGGAGGATTGCATTATCTTGGTGATTAGTTGTAAAATAGATGAACACTGACAGGTGAAAAGTTGTAGGCTTCCTGTTTGTTGTGGGTTTTTTTGTTTTTTTTTTTTAACAACTTAGTAGCTTACTGAGTTGATATACACGATCCACATTTTAGACTTGGAATCTTCATTATGAATTTGCTGTTTCAAAATGAACTAGAGTGGTAGAAGACATAACTGGTGTATATGTATGAGATGATTTTAGATGGCATATAGATGCCCAATTTTTAAGTTATGTATTATAGTGTACATTGGAAAAGATGTAATTATGGTATCAAGCCTGTTATTTCACGGAAATATAGTAAGGACAAAGCTGAGCAAAAATAATTGATATGAGGAAAAATAATAAGTAAACAGTAGTACAGGTTGTAGGCAGATAAGGAAAGTCATGAAGGTGGTATGTGAGAGACTGCAGTTTGGGGAACACTAAGCTAGAGCACTAATCATGTTTGCATCAGAGGATCCAAAGGCAGAAGGGGACCTGTGGCAGTCACCTGATCCAGATCCGTTATTTGCAAATGACGAACTGGAGATCTGTAAGATTCAAACTATTTGCCCAAAGTGATACAGCTAATAGAACCAAGATTGGAACCTCTGTGGCAGATAGAACAGTTGCTTAGTTTGTATTCTCATAAAACAAGTTTGAAGTTATCATTCCGGGTTCTTCCAGTCTTTGTATGTCAGAGGGTATTAAGTTCTAAACTTTTTAGAGAGGACTGTTATGTTGTGGGAAAAGTCCAAAGAAAGCTAGCAAACATAAAGTGAGGGATCTCCTTTGATCCTCACAGCCACCTTTTGAAGTCAAATAGATGTTTTGCAGATGAGAAACTGAAATTATACTCTGAAAGCAATATTTCATTTAGCCCTCATAATAACCCTGTAAAATAGGTAGGGCAGGCCTGGCACAGTGGCTCATGCTTGTAATCCCAGCACTTTGGGAGGCTGAGGCAGGTGGATCACCTGAGGTCAGGGGTTCGAGACCAGCCTGGCCAACATGGCGAAACCCTGTCTCTACTAAAAATACAAAAAAAAAAAAAAAATTAGCTGGGTGTGGTGGTAGGCGCCTGTAATCCCAGCTACTTGGGAGGCTGAGGCAGGAGAATTTTTTGAACTCGGGAGGTGGAGGTTGCAGTGAGCTGAGATCACACCACTGCACTCCAGCCTAGGTGATGGAGTGATTAGGTAAGACAGATAGTGATATATTCATTTAACAGATAAGGATAGTAAAGCTCAGAGGTTATGTAATTTTTAACACCCAGTATCTCAGTGGTAGATTGGAACTAAAAGGTGTTCTGATTCTTAGTCTAGTTCTCTTTCCACAATACTATGCTGCTGTTATGTGTCAACCGGTTATTCTTGGAAACATTTGCCAGGATAAGGAAATGAAAAGGTAATTTCATGCTAATCTTCTTGGGAACAAGGGCTGATACATAGTTGATAATCAGCAGGCACAAGTTCCTGTTATATCATGTGGAAAAAACTGTCTTCTGCCATTTAAGTGACTATTGTATGTCAGAAGTTTTTGAAAAATTGTTGTTTAATAAGGAATAGCTTTTTTTTTCCGAGGTGTGCTAGATCAGGTTTGGTACATTCATAGGCAAACTATGAAATATGTGTGACTTTACTGAACAGTGCCTGTGTTTGGTATAACAAGAGTTGGATAGTCAAAGGGGAAAAGTAATCAAATGTAGGTTACCCTTTAGGATCAGGTCCGTTTCATGTAAGCCTTACTAAAATAGTCTTATTCATTCCTGCAGTTCAATCCCCTGTCTCCCCTTTACTCCCTGGATGTTCTTGCCGATGCTTCTCACCGAAGGTGTTCACCAGCACACTGCTCTGCCAGGTAATTGTCTTTTAGTAGCGGTTATTTGCTTCTGGACAATACTATATTCCTTTCTATTACCCCTCAAATTATAGAGTATGCTTGTGTACAGTATCCAATTTGATCCTGACAATCTTTTGAGGTAAATAGATGTTTTACAGATGTAGAAACTGAGGCAGAGCAGTGAAGTATCTTTCCTGTGGTCCAAGGCTAGTATGTGATTAAGTCTCAACTTTGACCTAAGTCTTCTGGCTCATATTTCATTTTATTTCTGCTGCTAAAAGCCCCATCTTCAAACAACATTATTAATGTTCCTTGCCATGAGCCTGCAATACCCTGCATAATCTGACTTCTCCCTACATGTACAGCCTCCTTTCGTATAATTTTCTCCCTCTGTGGGAGAGAGATCCAGCAGTACTAGGGAGTTCTGTTTTGTTCTTCAAAAATTGCAGCAGTCCTTTCCTGCCGCTGAAACTTTGCACTTCTTCCCTTTGACTGGAAAACTGTCTTTGAGCTGCTGCTTGTCTCAGCTCAGGTGCCACCTCGTCAAGGAGGACCACTCAGACCATCCCGTCTAAGGGGCCACCTCCAGCACTTCCTGCTCGTTATCTGTTTGTTTCCTTTATGGCTCTATCACAGTCTGAATTGGATTTGCTTATTAGTTTATTTTAGTTGGTTTGGTTTTTCTTTTTTAATTTTTTTCTTTTTCACTTTATCCCTCAGTCTCTCCCACTAGAATATAAGCTTCAAAGTACTGGGATGTTGTCTTGTTCCCTGATAACTTCATAACACCTAACACAGTATCTGGGACTTGTTAGGCATTAACATATATTAGTCAAACGAGTGACTCCTTACAAATATAAATTCTTTTAGGTGACATGGGAAGTAAATATGGTTTTAATTGTAGCACCCCCTACAGGGCTGTTATGCAGAAAAGAGTAGCTAATAGGCTGGACCCTAGAAGTTGTACTGTTTCTGGTGGCACAAAGAATTTCTTTCCAAGGTTCTGATGACTCTTTTTTATTCCTAATAAGTTCTTAAATGGTTATGTTCATAGCTTTTGAGGTTCAGGCTGCACAAAGAAGTTACTTTCATGGATACAGTTAGAACTTCTACTATGGGCTATAATAATAAATTTTGCACCATAACCTACTGCCAGGTCTTTCTACTGAAGAAGTGGTATTTCTGTATGGAATGTCTTTTGAAAAGAGAGACCATCACAAATGGTGTTATTAAGAATGTTGAACTGCCGGGCGCGGTGGCTCACGCCTGTAATCCCAGCACTTTGGGAGGCCGAGGTGGGCGGATCATGAGGTCAGGAGATCGAGACCATCCTGGCTAACACGGTGAAAACCTGTCTCTACTAAAAATACAAAAAATTAGCCAGGTGTGCTGGCGGGTGCCTGTAGTCCCAGCTGCTCAGGAGCCTGAGGCAGGAGAATGGCGTGAACCCGGGAGGCGGAGCTTGCAGTGAGCTGAGATCGCGCCACTGCACTCCAGCCTGGGGGACAGAGCGAGACCCCGTCTCAGAAAAGAAAAAAAAAAAAAAAAAAAAAGAATGTTGAACCAGAGTGAGACCTTGTTTCTACAAAATTTTTTTTTTTTAAATCATTTGTGTCTGGTGATGTACACCTGTAGTCTCAGCTACTTGGGAGGCTGAGGTGGGAGGATCACTTGAGCTCAGGAGGTCAAGGTTGTAGTGAGCTGTGATGATGCCACTGCACTCTAGCCTGGATGACAGAGTGAGACCCTGTCTCAAAAAAAAAAAAAAAAAAAAAGAAAAGAATGTGGAAAATTGTGGAATGATATAAACTATTAGTAGTAAGGCCTTTCCTTCAGTAGCATGATGTTTATTCATCATTAATTCATTCAGCGTTTGCTGGAACCCTACTATGAGCCAGCTCTTTGTTTAGATACTGCCCTCAAGGAGCTTACATTCTCATGGGAAAGTCAGGTATGGAAGTTGACAACTACAATAAAGGTTTGAAAAAGCACAGAGGAGGGGCCCCTAATGTCAAGGCTCAGGGAGATCTTTTTAGAGGTGGTTGTGCTCAAGCTGTCATAGAAGACAACAGGATTTTAATCCATAGGAAAACAGTCCTTTAGCTTTTTGTCTTAATACCAAATAAAATAATGTCTGTGTATACTGTTTGGGAAAATGATTTGAGTAGCATGATATCATGTCAGAATGCTGAAAGTGGATTACTTTCCCTCCTCTCTTTACCTCTGCTACCTAGAGCTGTGCTGTGCTGAGATCAGTATTCGTACTTTTGTCAGGTTTCCTGTTTCCTTTAAAAGCCTTATCCTGTGGCTGGACTAGGCATCAGCTTCTTGTTTCTTTGTGTATCTCATTATCCATACCACTGTCTTCACTCTTTTGCCTGGCAGTGTTTGTGGCTGAACTTGGAAACCTGAGGAAGTCTCTACTATGCTTCTGGTATGCTCAGCTCTAGGGTAATATTGCTTATTGTTTTAGACCATTGCTGAAAGCAAAGGAAAGAGAATGTGGACAATCATGCATCGTCTTTGTCCTTACTTCTAGACGTCATACCCAGGGCAGTAGATACCAAGTGGGTTGCATACATGAAGGTTCTTTGGGAAAGGGAAAGAAAATTTTTAAACTTACATTTATTTATAGCAAAAAAATTATAGCAAAATTTTTTTTGTTTTAAATTATACATATGTGTCTAGTAGCACGTATTTATATTTTATGTATATGTACTACATACATAATTTTTTTTCAGATTTTTTACTCATGAGGGTGCACCTCAATAAAGCTTGGCAACCACTGCTTCATGGGAAATGATCAGCGCAAGTGACTTCTATGCAATTTTTAGAAAATGTGAATGATGACATACTGAGCTCTCAGGGCAACTGGTCACTCCTTTGTAATCGTTCCTCCCCAGCAAGGGGTTAGTGAAGATGGAACCGTCTAGCTCCAGTGTGGCAGACTGATGAGATTGGATTCAGAACTGGGCAGTAGGCTTTGCAAAGAGTGGATCATTTAGCAAAAGCCTGGCACCAAGGAGGAGTGTGAAGGAGTAGTGGCAGGGAAGAGGCAGGTGAATGACTATACTAAAAACTGTTTCCAGTGGAAATTGTGTCTTTTTCTTGTCCCATTTTATTTGTAGTAGGGAAACATTTCTTTCAAAGCACCTGGGCAGCATTGGAAATTTCACATGCATCATTAGCATGGTGTGTGTGTGTGTGTGTGTGTGTGTGTGTGTGTGTGTGTGTGGCGACAATGTTATCATTAGTGGTATAATTTTATTTTGCAAAGAGAGAAGTGTTTCCTGTTTTATCACAGCTTTCCCCGAGGAGGGCTGGTGTATTAATTTGCTGTATTGCCTCCTGGCTGTTCCCAGGCTGTTTTTCCTCTTCATCATGGAATTTTTAATGGCCCTACTGCCTCTTGGGAAGCATGTGAGGAAGAGTTCCTCAGGGAGTGCTTCCCTTTTTTCACATGCCTATAATTACTCTCCTTTAAGAGCACAAAGAGTTTGATAATCATGCCTGAACTATGAAGGTTCCCTCCTGTCAGGTTACTGAGCTGAGGCTGCTTCTTGCCTGGACACTGCCAATTCCATTCTCCTAAGCAAGAGCAAGGGCTTTTCAACAGTTTCCTCCCTGCTAGAACCATATGCCCTTCTGGTTCTCAGAATAGGTGGGGGCGGGGGGCATTGGGAGGATGGTGCATGACCTAAAATCCTCTCTTGTTTAATATTTCATTGCTATAAACAAATAAATAATTGGACCATAATATTAAAATAACATTTTATTGATGTAGCGTTATAATACAGCCCAGATGACAGGTGCAGTGGATGGGAGGGAGAGTTTTGTGGTCTTTGTACCATCTAATAGATTTGTGGATTTCAGGAATAGCACTCTGGAAATAGTTAACTTGGTGGTTTTCAACCCTGGCTGCAAGTTGGAATCACCTAAGAAGCTTTAAGAAAATATATCCGTGCTGGGCCCCACTTCCAGAGATTCTGATTTAATTGGTCTGGGATAAGGCCTAGACATTGGCATTATTTTAAAGCTCCCTAGGTGATTAATATGCCAGCCAGGGTTAAGAACTGTTGTCCTAAATGCATATGGTTTTGTGACTGGTGCTTTGTAATTTGCTTAATAGGGTCTCCCCTTTCATAATTGGTGCAAACTCTGTACTTTGGTATGGTATGCACCATTCCTTACGGGAGGTAGACCTCTGGACTTCTCTTAGCTTTGGAGAACCTACTGCAGGTAGAGAAGAGTGTTAGTATCTGCACGGTGCCCAGCACATAGTTCTTAATAAATGGATCAGGGGCAGAGTTTTGTCAGGTGGATATATGGATAGTTGGATTGTTGGCTGGGTGTGTAGATGAAATCCATAAACCAAGTGTTTTGGTTTGGTTGTTTTGGTTGCTAGTATTGGGATTTGCTGTTAAAGGTGTGATACCTGGTATTGGTGTTAAGAATTGCTGCTGCCCAAACAGCAGATGGTGTGATTGGCGTTCTGGTAGAGGCAGTGGTATTGTTAAGGGCACAGTCACAAACTTGTAATAAGAAGACTAGTGCTGCAAGCAGTTTTTCCCAAAATGAGAGATTTGTTGATTGTGAAGGATAGTTTTTCTTACTATTATTACCAAAGAAAATGATAGCTAGGATTTATCAATTGCTACATACAGGTCAGTTGCATCTATGTGATTCATCAATCACCAGTTGCAGTTTTTGAGTGCAAAAACTTTTCATGGCAGTGTTTTAGTTTTCTCCAACTCAAAGGAAAGGTCAACTTTTAGTGACCTTTCCTTTATTTTGGAAGATAATTTGGTCAAGCATTACCATTTTAATTTATTCTTTCTTTAAGCTCTGAAATAGCAAAGCACTGATATCTTCTTTTCATATAGGTCAGCTTCCTTTGTAAATAAACTGTTTTTTCTTTGAGAAATCTTATTTTTAGTTGTGGTAAGGATGGCAGATATCAGCCTGGTATGCAAATGTTATACGTGTTTCTTAATGAATGGATGAAAAGTTTCATAGCTTCTACTTTCTTCATAGTCCATTGGCATAGGTGGTAGGAGATTAAGAGTGTAGATATTAGTGTCAGGCAGACCTGGGCGAGAATCCGGGCTTTACCCAGGCAAATGACTTAATCTTCCCATACCTCAATTTCTACATCTTTAAAATGGAAATATCAATACTTTTTAAATTGGTTGAATGGGGACCAAAATGAAATAATATATGTAAATATTGAGCATCCTGGTAACCAATATTATTTTTGTTATGTAGTTACTGCCCTACCCCATCCTTAGGATAATTGCAATTTTAAAAACTTTGAGTTGGCTTCCAGAGTCATTTGCTAATTAGATGTAATACTGATTCTTGAGGTGCTTAAATGACCTCAAATGGTCTATAAGAGGAGGCATTTGGACAGAGTTGGGGTTAAAAAAAAAGAGAGAGAGACCTTCCTGCCCATTAGAGAGTTGAAATAGGATAGGCTGAGCTCATTTGTAATTCATTTTATCTGTTCACAAACGTTATGATCTGCATATCAGAGTTGTGTGCCCAGCTGGCTGTGCCACTTGACAAGGAGTTTCAAAGAGTAAGAAGAAGACTCACTTCATGCTATTAATTTTGACCTTTGGAGCCATAATAAACAGCCTGAGGTTTTACCTCAGGGCTTGGGGGAAGGAACCTTTTATTAGTCCTGTATCTGTTGATGCTGTGAAGCACAGTGTTGCTTTCTCACCTCTTTAATGCCTCAGTTTCAGCCACATGTGTGAAGCAGTTTCTGCTATAGTATTGTCTATAAGGCTGCCCAAGCCTATTGGAATTGCCCATTGTATAGTACACAGTTCTTGAATCTTTTGTCCTCTATTGGAGGGTCTCGTTGACAGTGGCTCTCAGCTGGCTGGCATCTTACTGCCTAAGTGGAATGATGAAAGCATTTTCTCTCTCTCTGTTTTTCCATTGTAAGATACCCATCTTTCCAACTGATGTGAAATGATTTGGCTCTTATGGGCGGCATGAAACAGCTTCATAGATATGCCTACTTTAGCCCAGCTAAGGGAATTAGATTAGGGAGAATTTTCAGGTGCCAGTGAGCAGTTTGTCACAGACTACTGAGGGTTAGATTTAAGTGAAAATCATTAGTGGAATTGCTAGGATCGCTTCCTGTTAGATAAGCCTCCTCTGTTTCCTATGATAATTGTGAAGTGTTTTTTTTTTTTCTTTTCTTCCTATCTGCTCCTAGTGCCATAGGCCTAGATCTTTTCCCAGGTGCAAGTCTATGAAAATATTTCCCCTCCTGACTGCTTAATAAATGTCAGTAAACCTTAAAGGTAAAATCACATGTGAGAAAGGAGTCTCACATTTAATCTAGGGATTAAATCTCTAGATTTAATCCTCCTTTTTCTCCTTTTACCCTAGCACTTACTTGTTCTCTGATTACAACTCAGTGTCTCGGAGTATTAATTCTTTCTTTAGGAATTGGCCTTCCTACTGTGTTGTGAGCTCCTGGGGACAGGACCTCAGCTCAGTCATCTTTTATCTCCCTCTGCACATCCAGCATAGTATGTTACATTGGGTAGGCCTCCATACATTTTTGTTAAAAATAATTGAGGTGAATAGATTAGTAATTAAGCAGAATAATTGGAATATATATATGAACTTTGGTCCCTAGAAATATCAAATTTTTTCCTGGTGTTACTTGTGTTAAAGAAAAAGTATAGAAAACAAATACCATTTTTACATTGAATTTTATTAACTTTCTAATTTTTAATTTTTGTGGGTTTGTAGTAGGTGTATATACTTATGGGGTACATGAGATGGTTTGATATAGGCATGTAATGCGTAATAATCACATCATGGAGAATGGGGTATCCATCCCCTCAAGCATTTATTCTTTGTGTTACAAACAAACCAATTTTACTTTTATTTAAAAATGTACAGTTAGATTATTATTGACTGTAGCCACCCTGTTGTGCTATCAAATAGTAGATCTTATTCATTCTTTCAATTTTTTTATACATATTAACCATCCACATTCCCCACCACCCTCATTACCCTTCCCAGCCTCTGGTAACCCTCCTTCTACTCTTTATCTCCATTAGTTCAATTGTTTTGATTTTTAGATCCCACAAATAAGTGAGAACATGTGATTTTTGTCTTTCTGTGCCTGGTCTATCTTACTTAATATAATTATCTCCATTTCCATCCATGTTGTTGCAAATAACAGGATCTCATTCTTTTTTATGGCTGAATAGTACTGCATTGTGTATATGCACCACATTTTCTTTATCCATCATCAGTTGATGAACACTTAGGTTGCTTCCGAATTTTGGCTATTGTGAACAGGGCTGCAGCAAACCTGGGGGTGCAGATATCTCTTTGATATACTGATTTCCTTTCTTTTGGGTATTTACCCAATAGTGAGATTGCTGGATCATATGGTAGCTCTATTTTTAGTTTTTTTGAGGAACCTCCAAACTATTCTGCATAGTGGTTGTACTAATTTACATTCCCACCAACAGTGTACGAAGATTACCTTTTCACCACATCCTCACCAGCATTATTAGTTGTATTTTGGATGTAAGCCATTTTAACTGGGGTCAGATGATGTCTCATTGTAGTTTTGATTTGCATTTTTCTGATGATCAGTGATATTGAGCATCTTTTCATATGCCTGTTTGCCACTTGTATGTCTTTTGAGAAATATCTGTTCAAATCTTTTTTGATTGGATTATTAGATTTTTTTTCTACAGGGTTGTTTGAGCTCCTTATATATTCTAATTATTAACCCTTTGTCAAATGGGTAGTTTGCAGATATTTTCTCCCATTCTGCGGGTTGTTTATTCACTTTGTTGATTGTTTCCTTTGCTGTGCAGAAGGTTTTTAACTCAATGTGATCCCATTTGTCCATTTTTGCCTTGGTTGTTGTGATTGTGGGGTATTACTCAAAAAATTTTTGCCCAGACGAATGTCCTGGAGATTTTTCCCAATGTTTTCTTATAGTAGTTTCATAGTTTGAGATTTCAGATTTAAGTCTTTAATCTACTTGATTTGATTTTTGTATATGGTGAGAGATAGGGGTCTAGTTTCATTCTTCTGCATATGGATATCCAGTTTTCCCTGCACCATTTATTGAAGAGACTGTCTTTTCCCCAGTATATGTTCTTGGCACCTTTGCTGAAAATGAGGTCACTCTGCATGTGTGGATTTGTTTCTGGGTTCTCTATTCTGTTCCATTGGTCTATGTGTCTGTTTTTATGCCAGTACAATGCTATTTCAGTTACTATAGCTCTGTAGTATAATTTGAAGCCAGGTAGTGTGGTTCCTTCAGTTTTGTTCTTTTTGTTTAGGATAGCTTTGGCTGTTCTGGGTCTCTTGTGGCTGCATATAAATTTTTGGATTCTTTTTCCTATCTCTGTGAAGAATGTCACTGGTATTTTGATAGGGATTGCATTGAATCTGTAGATTGGTTTGGCTAGTATGGACATTTTAACAATATTGATTCTTTCAATCCATGAACATGGAATATCTCTCAGTTTTTTTGGTGTCTTCTTCAATTTCTTTCATCCATGTTTTATATTTTTCATTATAGAGATCTTTTATTTCTGTAAGTTAATTCCTAGGTATTTAATTTTATTTGTGGCCACTATAAATGGGGTTAATTTTTAAATTTGTTTTTCAGATTGTTCACTCTTGGCATATAGAAATGCTACTGAATTTTTTGTGTTGATTTTTTATCTTGCAACTTTACTGAACTTGTTTATCACTACTGACAGTTTTGTGGTAGTCTTTAGGTTTTTCCAAATATAAGTTCATATCATCTACAAACAAGGATACTTTGATGTCTTCCTTTTCGGTTTGGATGCCCTTTATTTCTTTCTCTTGTCTGATTACTCTAGCTAGGACTTCCAGTCCTAAATTGAGTAACAGTGGTGAAGGTGGGCATCCTTATCATGTTCCATATCTTAGAAGAGAGGCCTTTCAGTTTTTCCCCATTCAGTATGATACTAGCTGTGGGCCTGTCATATATGGCTTTTATTGTGTTGAGGTATGTTCCTTCTATACCCAGTTTTTTGAGGATTTTTATTCTATATAAAAAGATGAACTTTTCATTAACTTTAAAAATGAGTGATTTTTGAAGGTGAACTATTCCTTAAACTAGCTTGCCATTCGCAGACAGACTGTTTTCTCTCCTTAGGAGTGACTCTAAAGATCTTTGTTCCAAATCTAACGCAGTCACTTCAGTTATTTTTTGCCAACATTGGTTCTATTAAACATGCATGTATTTCTCAAAGTATTTTTTTTTCCCTAAAAGTACATTCCTGCCCCAAGGACATAGTGATCTGCCCGGTTTCCTAAGTAACACTGCAGTTTTAACAACTCACCTGATCTTTCAGTTACCTGCAGTAAAAAAGAAAATAGAAATGTTGTGTTTATGCTTGGATAGAAAGAATCCTCTTTCCATTAATTGTTAATTTCAGCATTCACCTTCACACTTGTAATAACAATTTAATGACTTTTTCTGAGATAAGAATTTTTTTTAAATTCTTATTTAAAAATAAAAATTTTTTGCTTTTAGTGCTCATTCTTCCAACTCTGCCCTGGCAAATACCACCACAGTGGGGAAACTATGACACTCTTAGGGGAAGTACTGATCCCACACTTACACTATGAAAGAAGCGTATACCCCAGGTTTCGCTGGCCTGAGTGAAGATTGTCCCTGAGGCCCTGATCAGATGAAACAGAACAGGCATAGCCTGTCTTTTCTCTAATTGCATATATACTGGGGAACAGTATTTTTATCTAAATTTATATTCATTTAATCATTCTATTATTCTTTAGGTTGAATACTTAGATCTCTATTATTGACTAGGTTGGCTCTGGGAATTTGGTAGATTTTTCAACTCAGTAATTTTCGAAGTAGGTAGGTGCTTATCAGAATTACCCAGGGAAAAATTTCAAAATAAATATGTTACTGATTCTGCTCCCACTCCTCCCCAGCCTACTGAATTAGGATCTTGATAGGGACATGTGTATTTAGTAAAAGCTCCTTATATAATTCGGATAACCATTTGCCACTCCAGTTGAGAATGAAGTTTTAACTTGGTGGAGACTTTAACTTATACTTAGCCTTTTATACAATGTGCCTAATTGAAAGATCACTTCCCTTAACGTATTACATGGTTTGCAACCCAAGAACAACCATATACTACACTTGAAAAAGAGTTCTGAAATATCTCGTTACTCTTTCAACCTTTCTACTTGTAGGGAGGGTCTCTGTGTTGGTGAGAAAGGGAAGTTCAGACTCTCTATCCTTGTTGTTACTGCATTTGTGCTTTTGTCCCTCTTTTAGTTTCCATTTTGAGAGTAAACAGTGATGCTTTCAAAGTAAAATAACACACATTAAATAAATAACACATTAAAAAGAAAAGGAGTCAAGTGGTTGTTAAGTACCCCTAAATGAAAATGGGGTTGGGGAAGTGGTCAACCTCCTTATTTTTCCTTCCCTTCTTTAATTTTTTATGTCTGCAATTGATGATCTGGAATTTGGGGATGAACAAAAAACTGGAACTGTCTTGTCAATAGGAAGCCGAAGCTGTAGCAGTTGCCTTACCCACATGGTAAGGTTCCCCAAAATAATACAGGCAGCCCTGCCAACCCCACATGTAATATTCTTCACTTCTGAGCAGGGCTGTGCTAATATTCTGAATGTGCCGTGCCACATGACAGCTTCCATTTCCTGCCTCTAAATCCTCTTGCTCTAAGCACCCAACTTCCTTCTTTTCCCCAGGCTTGTTCTCTTTTTCTTCCTCTTCTTTTTAAAATTTTATTTTATTTTAAAAAACTGACACATAATGACTATACATATTTATGGGGTACACAGTGGCATTTCAATACATACAATAGTGATCAAATCAGGGTCATTAGCATATCCATCTGCTCAAACATTTATCATTTCTTTTTGTTAGAAGCATTCAATATCTTCCTTCTAGCTATTTGAAACTGTGTAATATACAATTGTTAACTATAGTCACCTTACAGTACTATAGAATGCTAGAATTTATTCCTCCTATCTAGCTATAAGTTTATATCTTTTAACAAATCCTTCTCTATCCCTTCCTTCCCCTACCCCAGCCTGAAGTATCCTCTGTTCTACTTTTTACTTCTATGAGATCAACTTTTTTAAGCTTCCACTTATGAGTGAGAACTCAATGTGTTTAACTTTCTGTTCCTGGCTTGTTTTCACTTAACCTAATGTCCTCTAGTTCCATCCATGTTGCTGTGAATGACAGGACTTACTCTTTTTTTTTTTTTTTTTTAAACGCCTGAATAGTATTCCATTGTGTAGCAGGCTTGTTCTGGGTCCTCTTCCTTCTTTGTCCTCTAGGGTTCTTTCCAAGCAGATGGGGACTTCACATAGAAAAATAGATTTTCCCAAGCTGTAAACTCTAGCAGTACTAATGTTCACTTAAAACCAAGGAAGAAGCAAAATGTCTTACTGTCCTGTTATAACAGTTTGATCATTTCTCTTCTTCCCTCCCCAAATCTTGTCTAGGAAGGGACATAGAGAAAAATGTCCTCATATACTGACAGCGAAGATATGATGTTATTCTACCTCCTATGAAATAGCTCTCCAACCTTGAAATGGGTCTTAAGAGAAATGTTTTAAGAGGGAAGGATCATTTAAACTGAGTTTTAAAAACGAACATACCTTCTCTTCATTGATACCCTAGTTTCTTTGTTATTCATATTCTGTAACCTGAAAAGCTGTGCAGCTGCAGATAGGACTTGGCTATAAGATCCATCAAGGCAGAGATTGTCTCTTGTTTATCACTATATCCCTAGTGTTTAGTACAGTGCTTGGCAAGAGTAGGTGCTCAGTAAAAATTTAGTGAACAATGAAAGAAGCAACAAAACTGCTTAGTAGAAAGGAAATAGTCCACAAAAGTATATACTTTTACAATAAAATAATTCACTTAACAAGTTTCTTTACTTGATTTCCTTAGAAAGTCTTCAGTTCTTTCCTGTTATAACCAGAGGAATTTACAAAATCTGAAGGATTTAAGATATTCAAGGCAACAGTTAGAGGTAGGAATGGGGTGGTAGAAGTAGACCATTTACCACAGAGAGAAGTAATATGCTGGAGGCATAGCAGTCAAGGGTCACTTAATGTAGAGACAATTGACCTGAAGGCTTAACAATATCGCCTAGAGGAGCAGGGTGGTGGTGGAAGGACCACCTGAGCCATTGAACCCACAATAGCACCCTAAGATGTTGTGGTATAATAACCTGTGTGCGTAATAATAGGTAAGTAATACTTATTCTCAGTTTGCTAAAGTAAATAAGCATTTCCATTAAAAGTTGTTAAAAACTTTAACATTTTAGTGTATAAATGGTTTTTTTTTTTAAATTCCAAAATGACACTGTCATTCCTCGAAAGTGTGAGATAAGTAGTACTGACTAGATCCATAAAAGAGTTGATAATATGGGCCTTTTCCCATGTTACTGACATATATCAAACACGCAAAATGGTGAAAATGATGGATGGGGGCAAATAAAAGGCAGTATTTGTGTAGTTCAGCTCAAGTTGATACTCCAAGAATTAGTATCTTAATATACTTCTTGAGTACTTATGCTTCTCATTTTGCATCTGTCTCATGAAACTCAGCATATTGTAAACTGTGATCTTGAAGAAGCAATGTTTTAAATTAACTTTTTATTGAAGGATAAACATACAGGGAAGAGTACAAAGAAATATACACTTGATAAACAGTCACAAAGTTACAGTCAAGTAACAAGCATCCAGATGAAGAAAAAGAGAGTTATCAGAAAGAACCCCAGAAGCTCCCTGTGCCTCTTTCTCTGCCTGTCTTCCCCCTCACCACTGCTGTAGAGTGCCACCATCCTGATGTCTAACAGTAACATGGTTTAGCTTGAATCAGTGGTGTTAACATTTTTTCTGAAAAGCTTTGGAGGTTCCTTTAATGAGCTTCAGATAAAGAGGAAAGAAGCATGACTATACACTGTTAGCCTTTGTTTGACTTTGTTTCTCCTTCTGAATCATGCCTGAGGATAAGGATGATTGAATAAGATCAGAGTGCTTGGATAGTCTCAGTTTGGGTATGTACTCAAGTCTTATGTTTGTGGAAAAGATGGATGCTCTATGTGTTCTACATTTCTCTGTTTTGAGGAGAAACACAATTTTGTAGTGTCACTTTATTTTCTGCTTGTGTCTGGACTTCAAAGGGAATTACCACCACTCCGTTCAGACTGAAGTCCTGTCTCCCTTTGATGTTGTCACCTGTGTTAATTTATTATTAAATCAGCATGCTGCTTAGACTTGTTCCCAGGATTTATGCAAGGTATGAAAAAGGAAGCGTTTTCCCTACTTTACACATTGATAATTAGCTATTTAGAATTAACTATTTGAGCTTTCAGAATTAATTATTCATGAGGTATTTGACTTAATTTTCTGTACAGGACAGAGTGATCAATAAAAGGTGCTTTGGATGGAATTTTCCAAACCACTGGCTTTGTATTATAAATCTCAGCCTGTAGCATTCTTTGCATTCCTAAAGAATTTCTTAGGATTTTAGTCAAATTCTTATATTTTCCTATTTATAAATTGAATTGACTCTTAAGCTTTTGCTATTTAGAGACATGAAAGTGTGTGTGTGTGTGTGTGTGCACGCTCATGCTTGCGTGCACGCATGCATGCACCCTTTTCAACTGTGCAAGTTATTTTGGGGACTTTCTGAGTCAAAAAATTTGTCCATTCAACAGCTGCCTTGTTGCCTTGCTAACCAGGTTTTCTTAGGTTTGTCTGAGGTTCCAGTTTTAAGACTACTAAGGGTCTTAATCCTCAGCTGGGACTACTGATTAGGAGTTTATCTGGTATAATTTTATATGTTATTTACTTTGGCTAGTTTTTTAAAATTGTGGTAAAATGTACATAATATAAAATTTACTATTTTAATCACTTTTAAGTGTTCAAGTGGCCATTTGATTTTTAGAACTTTTATTCATTCATAGCAGTTTTAATCAACAGCTAATGAGGATCGCCTGTGTGCCTTGAGCCAAGGTTGGTAGATCATTGGAAAATTATCAAAGAAGTGTAAATAAAGTTTCTGTTCTCAAGATCCCTGTTCTTAATCTCAAAGAGATTAAGCCTTCTTGTTTCATTAGAGAAGCAAGATATATGCACACCAGTTAAACATTGCTTCATGGTAGATGAGGCCCCAAATGTTCAAGGAACACTTTGTGTAAAGGTGAGACTCATTTTGGTCTTTAATCAGAGGCAGGATCTGTCTAGTTTGAGAGGGACAAAATCTTCACATACGTAAAGATTTTTATTTTACTTCTTAATTTGCATACAGTACAATACATTCTTGGGGAACAGTGGTGAACTAAAATAGCATACCACGTAGTTCAGTGTTAATCCCATTGTCTTTCACAGAATCGTTTGCTTTTAAAATAAGCTGAGTATTCAGATGAAGGAACATATTGTCACATAATTAATATTTTTATTTTTTTACCTGTAAAATAAAAAGCATAATTAATATTTTTAAAAGTCACAGAAACTAAACTTACTTAACTTGTGATGTAGACAGTATTAAAAATTCAGATTTACATGACAGGAGGTTGAACTTCCTATTAAAATTCTATGCAAATATCTGTGTTCATGCAGCATTAAACTTTTCAATGTATTACCTCTTGGGAGTAAGTATTTCATTAGTGAGTTTAGAGCAATTGTGGTTATAGTTTTTATGAAAAATAATTGTATAAAAATAAGCATGTAATGCAACACATATTTATTGAAATTAATCTTGAATGTCTGCTACACTGAAATCAGGTAAAAAGTTTAGAATGGGTGTGTATTGTGGATAAAGAGTGAGTTATTATTAATTCTGAATAATGTTGTCCCAATGCTTAATGGCAAAAGATGGTGCCCATTTTGTTTATGTCTGTAATAGGTTAAGGATTTAATCTGGGCTACATGTAATGTCTTACAATAAGAATTAAAAAGTTCAAACCATTTTTCTTCTTCTTACATCTGCAGACAGGCAAATGTACACTGGGGACCACCATGTTCACGTGACATCAAGAGGAAGCGGAAACCAGTGGCCACAGCATCTTTGTCTAGCCCCAGTGCAGGTGATTACATGCAGTTATCATTTATTGAGCATGTACCGTGTGCCAGGCACTAAATTATGTGTTTTGTATACCTTTTCATGTAATGTTTGTGATAGTGTAGGTCATTTTATTCCCACTTTACATGGGAAAACTGAGACTACAAGAAATAATTAGCCTAGTTCTTGCTGACTCTGAAGTCTGTGCTTTTTCACTGTTACATGGCTATCTAGAGTTTGAAACCCTATATTCCACTATCAGCAATCTCCAGTCATCTGAGCTTTTGTTTTAGCAGACAGGAAATTAGGTCCATGTTAATGAAAGTCCAGGTGAAGTGGCAGTTCAGTCAGGCAGTCACACAGGGTTATTTACTTTCTTATTTTGCATACAGTACAGTACATTCTTACTGCTTTTATAAGTAGAATGCTAATATTTTACTGGTCATGACATTCCTAATTAAAAACAATTTTTTAGGCTAAAACTTTTCAGTTTTTTTTTTTTTTTTTTTTAACAAAACTAACACTAATTGGTAGAAGCCAAAATAGTGCTTCTCTTTGGTGGGGGGCAGTGACCAAGAGAGGGCACAAAGAAACCCTCTGGGCTGTTGGCAATGCTCCATATGATGAACTTGGTGGGGGTGTGTGGCTGCTTACATAGGTAGAATCTGGAGCTGTGCACTTAGGGTTGATGTCCTTCACTGTGTGTATGTTATCCTTCAATGAAAAAAAGGGGAGAGTTATGTATTTATTAATATTTCAGTGAGAAAACTGGATATTGAATATACCATTGAATATTTTATTTTCTTTAGAAAATACTACCTATTATATAAATCAGAACAGTTGATAGCTGAATAGAGAGTAAACCTCACACAGATGGGGAGGGAGCCCTATCCTCTACCTTAACTTAGTAAGTTTTGGTGAACTGTGAAATTGTCCTCTTTGTGCTTCTGTTTGGAAAGTCTGCTTTATGGTGGTTCATACTGGACAATCTTCATTACAGGTCTGATGATTATAGTACTTTTTTTTCAGTGCTTTCCACATGGCCAGGCCCTGAGCTGAACACTTTGTAAACATTATTTCACCTAATCTTTGCAACAGCCTTATAAGGTAGATGCTGTTTTTATTCCCAATTTACACATGAGAAAACCAAGGCTTAAATCACTTCCCTGAGGCCACATGGTTGATAAATTGCAGAGCCAAGATCAGACCGGTTTCCTTGTGACTCTAGAGCTGTCCTGCAGATGTTCTTCTTTTTATATAAAACAAGATCAAGTCTAGACTATGACTGTGCATCAAAACTCAGATCCTCATTCAGTCTATGGTATTGGAAGCATTAAAAGAAAACCACCCCTCTTTCATCTTTTTGTTCTTTTTTTCTCCTTAATATCTAGCTTTTATTTTTAGCTTTTAATTGTTTATAAGAGAGGAACCACTGGAAAGAGTTTAAAATCCTTGTTCCATTTTCAGGTTGGGAAGTGTACGTGTGTGGGGGTGGGTATTAAACAAGACTTGAGCATTAAGCATTTCCCCTCCTGAGCCCAGCTCCTTTCCTCACTTGTTGACTAAGCCCTGCTTCACTGAGCATTTTCTTTTTTTCTGCCCACAACCTGAGTGCCCCATGGAGGTGAAGGACATAGCCTGAGTCTGAGCCATCAGTCAGTAGAACAAATGGGCTTGCTCTGCCTAACATCGGGCCATCTCGGATTCCACCTCTTTTATAGGAATGAGTGATGAAGAGAGGTGGGTTCCGCTTTGCCGCTGTATTAATACACATCAGGGGCCAGCTCCTAGCACTAAATCACGCTACGGCATACATCTGTTATCGGACTCTTCACCAGTGTGATGAACAAGACTGCAGATAGAGGCTTCCTTGTGTCATTCTTTATAGGATTTTCCTAAAAGAATAAATAGCTCAGATCTCTGCCAACACTCTCCCCTGTCACTGTGATGAATTCAGCTTCTTTCTTAAACATGCAGCCACAAATCTTTTCCCTTTTTCCCCTCCCCCAGTGGTAGAAAGTTTTGAGTTGCAATTGACTGAATTTAAAGATATTAATAAGGCTAGAGAGGTGAAGAGCAGGAAGAAACAGCATGTCTTCCTTGCCTTTTTGTACTAATAGTAACAAAAGGCCAAGGAAAAAGACTGTAAATGACCATAGGTTGTTAAATAGACCCATCTTGAAAGTGTAGCACCTTTATTTTCTTTGTATCTTCATTCTCCCTCCTTTACGGCTTTCTAGCATGCAGGTGTCTAGTGCACAGAACCACACCCTGGATCTTAGTGAGCAAGCATGCTAACCTGCTTCTCAGACTTGATACACCAGAACAGGGATTTCCCTGCAAGTGTCTCCCTCATGCTGAAGTGAACTAGCTGAATATGCTCTTAAAGAAAGTAGTCAGAAAAGAAAAAAAAGATTATCTTCTCCAAAATTTGAGACCAAGTAGCTGTAAAAAACATAATAAACCCAGATGAAAACCAGGCTTCGTTTTCTTGAAATGATTTTCTTCATCAGAATGGTAGATCAGAGCCATTGGTGTGCAGATTCCAATCCTTTAAAAAGTAAACACATGCCTTTTGATAAAGCGGAATTGAGGTGATCAGAAATTCTGTTGAGAACCCAGCTATTTGTGTGAGTATATTTTAGCTATCCCAAAAACTTTTTCTGACCTTTCTCTTTCTGGGATAGGATATGTGTGCTTAGAGTATCATTCAGAAGGGTACCTAATAGTTAATCTGTTAATTAGTTACATCAGGTTTCAAATACTAGGTCAGTGATATGAGAGCGAGAGAGAGAGATTTGAATTGTCAAATGTATTGTCAGATGCATTCACAAGAGCAGGACTGCTTATCTGTTTTGTTCACTACTGTACCCCTAGCATCTAAATGAATACCTAGCCCATAGAATAAACCCACTGGTTATTTGTTGTAAGAATAAATTAATAGAATCTTAAAGTTGAAACAGAGTGATTCCTAATATATTGTAACCACATGGTTGGATTCAGTAGTTCCATTTTAGGATGTCCCTTTTCTCAGGAGTCATAGGGCAAATTCTTATTGCCCACTGTGTCTTTTTAAAGTTTAAATGTTTTTTAAAATTAAACATGTTTCTTAGTAAATATTGAAGGGGTATAAAAGAACATTTATAGCAGATATGTAAGGAGTAAATAAAATACAGCAAATATCCACGTACCTACCATTCACTTTAAGAAAAAGTTAAAATTTTCTTTTATAAAAGGTTTAAAAGTTTTAAAAAGTTAAAATCTTTAAAAATCTTCTCCCTGCTCTCCTCAGAGGTAAAAGTTATTCTGATTGTTTTTTATCGTTTGTCATTCTTTTGTTTTTTTCAAGTAGTTTTAGCAGACATATGTATCTTCAAGCAATACATTGTCCAGTTTTGTGTTTTTGAACCTTGTGTATATGAAATCAAAGTATGTCATATTTTATGTTGCAGCTTTCACCGGGTTCTGTTTTTGAGATTCAATTATGCTTTGTCCTGCCAAAATCTATGTTTCAACTGCCATGTATGTGGTATTCTATTGTATGAATATGATTAATATGTTATAATTAAATGTTCTTGATGAACATTTGGATTGTATTCCTGTTTTATGCTATTATGGAAAATACTGCACTGTTCTCTGAGAGAACAAGTGCAAACATTCTTTTAGGCCACTTCCTGCTCATTAGGATGGCTATATCAAAAAACAGAGAACATCAGGTGTTGGTGCAGATGTGGAGAAATTGGAACCCTTGTGTAGTGCTTGTGGGAAGGTAAAATCATGCATTGCTGTGGAAAACAGCATGTAAAAAAACAGTTCCTCAAAAAGTTAAACACAAAACTACCATATGATCCAGCAGTTCTGTTTCTGTGCATATACCCAAAAGAATGAAAAGCAGAGACTCAAAATAGATTTTTGCATACCTTTGTTTACAGCAGCATTATTCACAGTCGTCAAGGTGGAAACAAATCACATGTCCATTGCTGGATGAATGGATGAACACAATTTGCCGTATATATACAATGGAATATTATGTAGCTTGAAAGCCTTTCTTATTCAGAATGAAACTCTGCCATGTGCTACAAATTGGATGAAGACATTTGCTAAGTCAAATAAGTTAGACACAAAAGGAGAAATATTGTGTGATTCCACTTTTATAAGCTACTAGAATAGTCAACTTCATACAAACAGAAAGGAACATAGTGGTTGCCAGGGGCTAGGGGAAGAGGGAAATGGGGGGAGTTATTGTTTAATGGGTACAGAGTTTCCATTTGAGATGATGAAAAAGTCCTGGTGATAAATAGTGGTGACAGTTATACAACAGTGTGAATGTACTTAATGCGACTGAACTGTACAGTTAAAAATGGATAAGATAGCAAATTTTATGTATATTTTACTATAATAAAAAATAGCAAAAAAGTTTTTCTAGGGTAGTGCTTTTTTCACTGCAGTTTGGTGACCATGTAGGTACAGTTTTTTGAAATTTATTACCAGTTAAATATGAGTGAGTATATGTGCCTGAGTTTGTTGTGAGTGTGTGTGTATGAGAGAGAAAAAGAGAGAGATTTGAGTTGTCAAATGTATTTCCTGCTGCTGTGGTGACGTTCCAAAATGTTTGAAAGCTGTTGCCCTCAAGAAACTCTTGTATATAGAGTAACAGCTTTCAAGATATTTTTACATTAGCCCACAATAAGAAATTCATGTTTGAATATGTGCGTTGGTTGTACATGTAAATCTGAAATAAATCTTGGGTACATGCCGATACTTTCTATTTTTTTCATTGAGTAAAAAAAGTAATGGCCATGACCCACTAAATTGATTTTGTGATCCACAATTTGAAAATTACTGTTTTAGGTTACGTTTCTGGGACTGGAATTATTGGGTGACGGTAAAATCCAAACTTCCCTAGATTTTGCCATATTTTAGTATATATTTGTTCTCAGCAGAGTGGGTAGAGATGATGGTGGTTTGTGCCACTCCACTCAGGGGCATTTGGAAATGTGAAGTAAATGTTTGTTTGTCACAATGACTGGGGAGTGTTCCTGGCATTCAGCAGATAGGATCCAGATCGGTAAGTGTTCTGAAGTATACAAGACAGCCCTGCACAAGCCATGTCTCCTGTCCAGAATGTCTTTAGTGATCTTATTGAAAAATATTGGGCCTGATTGTGCTCTTTTTCTACCATTTTCCTTGTTGTATGGTATATATTTATTGGTAACACTGCCCTATCGGAGGCATGGGTTGTGGCAGGAAGAGCGTGGGGTTTAGAGTCCAGTATGTGTGCTTGAATCTTGATATTTAACCAGCTCTGTTTTATCCCT
Source organism: Homo sapiens (assembly GCF_000001405.40). Classification (NCBI taxonomy): domain Eukaryota; kingdom Metazoa; phylum Chordata; class Mammalia; order Primates; family Hominidae; genus Homo; species Homo sapiens. The sequence goes on from NC_000014.9 coordinate 76,201,266, forward strand.
GAACAATTTATCTGATCTCTGTATACCTTAGCTCCCTGATCTAGAAAGTGGAGATCACTATGAGTCATCTCTATGAGCATCTATGAGTAAGGGTTTGCATTAACAAGATCATGAGTATTCATTGTTTAAGCAATACACACATAAGTACGTAATAAGTGATTTTTACTACATTATGAATGCGTGCTACTGAATTTATTTGTTCAGTTGAACCCATTTTCTCAGATTAGGAAATACTATCTTATTTAAATCTTGTCTTTACTTTTTTGTAGAGAAGAAAGAGATACCTTACGTGGCCACTTGGGTTACTAGGACATGAAGTATAAGGATTAAGAAAATTTTTTTTCTAAGTATCTCTCATTCTAATTTGTCTTATTCTAATTTATCTCCCCTTGATGTTTTGCTCCTCTCTGTTGTAACCTTACTAGTTCACATGGATGCAGTGGAGCCAACCACACCAGCATCACAAGCCCCCAAATCACCCAGCTCTGAGTGGTTGGTGAGGACCTCTGCAGCAGAGAAAGCCACAGACGCAACTACTGCTACATTTTTTAAAATGCCACAAGAAAAGAGCCCTGGATACAGCTAGAGAGCAGGACTTCACCCTCCAGGAGCTGACTGGGTGTTGCTGAAGCAAATGTTGGACTTTGTGTTAGATAGTCTTGCATATCTTAATCGACATTCCCAGTCCTTTCACCACCAGAACCAACTCCTCTTTCAAACACAGCAGTGGATTCTTTCTCTCAGAAGATCATGTTGTGGGAATCTTTTTTTTAAATAGTGAAATATTGAGGCAGCAATTTTTTACAAAAAGGTCATCCTCTGCTCTATTTGTTACCTTGTTATTGCTGTCTCAACATTTACTACAGCTCCATTTACAGAACTGTTGCTTTTTTGCAGTTGTCTTTGTTCTTGAAAAACCAGTAACTGCTTCTGCATACCTTTTGTGTAGAGCTTTTAATATCATTTGAGGAAGTTCCAAATTTGTAGCCAGTTCCAAACAAATTTAAATATTGAGTTGAGACCTGTATGGAATTGTGTTCGCAGGAGATAAGGCTTGCCTTTGAGCCTACTCTTGATTCATGCAGAGTGCCAATAAGATAAATCAACCAAGTTTTGGGGCCTCAAAAGAGACACCAGCAACTGGGCCTTGAGAACTTCCATTTTTTTGCAGATTGTCTGCAGAAACTCAGACAGCTCATCAGCAGCAGCAGCTGTATTGTATTTTACCTCATCTTCAGAGTTTATGTTCTACTGAAAGAGGACGTGTGTATACACACACACACACACACACACACACAGATTGGTATAATGGAGAAGATGGTTTAGGTGTACAGCAAATTTAAAATAGTCAGTGGATTGTGTCTTACTACTTCATGTCCCAGTGTAAGCCTTTATGTCCTAAGCAGGACTTTATTGTTAGTATTATAGGCTAATAACCTGCAGCAGAAATTCATACTCTATTATAATAATGGCTTCTTGGGGCCATGCTTTGGGGAAGTAAAATGTCTTTTTGACATGCCTTTATACTTGGCGTGTTTATGATGGCTCAGCTGCATGTGGAGTTATATATACAGTCGTGCCTGAAGTTGGATGCTACTTTGTCAAAATGAGAAATAAGTGATGGCCTGGAGCTGCTGGAGAGAAGCCACGCTTTCTAGAAAATATTATCAGGAGTGTCTGTCATTCATTCAGGGGCCTAGCTGACAGAAGGGCTCTTTTTTTTATACCAATGAGTGCGTTTACTCTGAAATACATAGAAGCTCTTGGTGAAGTGCTCCCTGCTCTGGTCACATTGTAGAGGGACTCCCACTCATGCATCTGCTTATTTTCTGTCTTAAATAGGTGCTGAATGGGGCAGCACCTCCTTCCCCCAAAGTGCGATTGCCCCTGTTTCCCATACGAAGTGTAATGACGGGTTGCTTTTAAAATTATAGTCCTTATCAATGGAAACTCCAGATTTCTTTATCAAAGGGAGGTGGGTGGGCATGAATCTAGTTGGAAAAGGGGACTTGAAGCTAAGTTTACATGGCACTTTAAGACTGAGAACATATCAATTGTTCATAATCAGGAATATGGTAGAGGGAGAGCAGGTGTAGATGATGGGACGGGAAAGTGCTGAAACCAGCCCAGCAGACCTGTGAGTCGCCTCTGGTTCTCACGCAGCAGTGTGTGTGTGCTCACAGGGATGTTCCACCCCTGGTTCTCATGCAGTAGTGTGGGAGAGTGCTGAAGCCGGCCCAGCATGCCTCTTAGTTGCCTCTGGTTCTCATGCAGCAGTGTGTGTGCTTACAGGAGTGGAGATGATGGGATGGGAGAGTGCTGAAGCTGGCCCAGCATGCCTCTGAGTCACCCCTGGCTCTCATGCAGCAGTGTGTGTGCTTACAGGGACTTCCCAGGCTGCACTTCCCTTCCCTGTGGGCTGCACCCGTAGAAGTATAGAAAATGTAATGTCTGTTGAATATAAAATCGTACCACTGAATTGTTCTAGTGATGAGGTTAGATTTTGTTGTCATGTGCATTGTCACCATAGTGACCCGTGGCATATATTTTTAACATACTTGGTTGGGTTTGAGAGAAATCTGTGGACGTAATTTTTTGTTTGTGTCAAGCTCTATGACTCATGCAGTGATTGGTCCCATGATCATGGCCTATTAGTGAAAACCTCCAAAGGTCAGGTGGCCAAGGTGTTCCCACATTTTTTCTATATAACTTGTTTCCTAATAGTCTGCCTTTCTACCTATGATTAAAAATAATTTTTATATACAACATTATTTACATTTCAAACATCTCTACGAAGTCATGCCATTTTAAGGAGATGAAAACAGCCACAGAGTTGAGTGACTTGCTCCAAATCACATAACTAAGCCAGGACTAGAATCCCAGACTTTCAGATTTTCTCTGCCCTGGGTTATAATCTCTTGTTTTTCAGTGATAGACCTGAGTCAGTCTGAGATGCTTATTTATGAAACAGTATACCATGAATATTTATTATCTTTCTTGGGCATGCTTTTCTACACATTTTGAATACTTTCAACAGGGATTACCCAAGAATGCAACATCTACCTGTAATAAATGGGGAGAAAATTAGTTGCCTGAGAGAACAGAATATTAAGCACACAAATACTTTCCAACACAGGGTTGTAAATTGTGCTCCTCATTTTAAGGTGCTGTACGTGCATGTTTAAGGAATTATTAATCAGTGTATTCTGCTTGCTTTCTGTATTAACCAGTTCCAGAGGATAGCCTTAGAAATGAGTGTATTTTGAATCTTAAAGTTTCTTTATATGCGGCACAGTGTATAATGTCGTAAGTTAAGAAAAATCTGTTATCTTTCAAAGAAGTTACGTAGTTTCAAAAATGAGGTTTTGTAATCAGTGTTGAAAAAACTCTGAACTATGACTTACTTTGAGGATGATCCTTGAGCTCATGTATTTGATCTGCTCAAAAGTAATAACTAAAGCTGAGTTAAACAGTTGTTATTTATTTCAGGGTTCTGATTTTTCCCAGCTGGCTACACAAATGGCCTGTCTGAATCCTAGTTTAGTGTGTTTTCCACGATGGGCAGAAGTCAGAACATTATCTGCTTCTGTGAGGATCATAATAAAAAGTTAGTTTTAATTACGAGTTTAAAGGAATTTTAGATTTTTTTCAGATGCAGTATTTTAAAGGAACAAAACTCCTGTGTTGCCTTTTGTTGTTGTTGTTGTTGTTGTTGTTTCCTAGAGACAGGTTCTTGATCTGTCACTCAGGTTAGAGTGCAGTGATGTGTTCATAGCTCACTGTAACCTTGAACTCATAAGCTCAAGCCATCCTCCTGCCTCAGCCTCCTGAGTTGTGAGGACTATGGAAGTGTGCCACCATGCCTGGCTAATTTTTTAAGTTTTTGGAGAGATGGGGTCTTGCTCTGTTGCCTATGCTGGTCTTGAACTCCTAACCTCAAGCAATCTTCCTGCCTCAGCCTCCCCAGGTGTTGTAATAATAGGTGCGAGCCACCATGCCCAGCCTTGTGTTGCCTCTTGGTAAGAAATAATAAAAAGAAATTAGTAGCTTGTTTACCTGGTACCAGATTTGGAGGGGGCTGAGTATAATTTTTACTGAGTGGTATGTGGTTGGAAAATAGGCCACATTTAGCCTTGAATTGTTTAGAAATCAAATGCGATTCAGAATTGAAGAGGACATTGCTGGGCTATGAAATAGGGTACTAACAAGGCTATTTTTGTAGCAAAATGGCCAAAAGCTGAAATAAATCTTCTTAGTCTGTGATGCTTGTAGCATCCTTTGTTAAGTAAAGCACAACACCCTGGACAAGCGACTAGTTATGACTTCCAAATAGATTGATAATAGCCTTGCATGTTGTAGTTAGAGACACTGTAGCTGTATCTGTATACCTGTAATATAGCCTGGGAAGTTCTGTTGCTGCAGAGTTATCATTAAAGTCACTTGGAATTGAAAAAGATACAGAGTGTTGAGACAAAGGAACTAGGCTGGCACAGTCATTGCTGATGCGATGGGTTCTCCACTTTGGCTCCAGGCGAAGGCTCCTGGTGGTGATGCATGATTGATTTCAGGTCTTTGTTTCATTTTGGCTTCATTACTGTGATTCTGAGCCACACAGGTTTTTCCCCCTGGGGAGAAGACTATGTAAAAATCTCAGCGTTAGAAGCTGTGTTCAGTGCCCTATATGTCTTGTGAACCTATCTGAGCTGGGCTGAGAGCAGAGTGGCTTACTGTAGCAGCTGTGGATGCAGTCTAGTTGGAGGCATGGCTTGGAGGACGTCATGGTTCATGCGATGGTTGGAGGGATGGTAAAAGCAGTTAGCTCTTGTCAGCTGCTTCCCTCTGCTAGTGCTTGAGCTGCCAATTTTATTTGTCAGTATTTCCTGATCTCCCACTCCTGTTGTGAAAGGTCACAGAGTTACTGTCACTGGCAACAATTTCGCCCCTTAGAAGAAAACTGGTACAGAGGGAAAGGGTGAGGAAAATGGTGAGTTCCATCACTCAGAACTAAATGCAAGTGGTAGAGAGATGCTTTCTCCTGTGTTAACGTCTCCAAAAGATGAACATCAAATGCCCGGAAACAGCAACATCAAAAAGAAGGAAGATGAGAAGTATTGTTGAAGAGTATGGACCTACAGGGTTTTTAACAAGTCCAGCAAAACAAACTATGGCCAAAAGAAGAAATTTTTCTGTCACTGCGAGTAGACATCATAAATGCTTGGTAAAATTGCCAGATTTAGGGAATAAAAAATTTTTAAAGTACAGTGTTGAAGAATGGGGCATGTCATGAAGACATTCAGCAAAGAAGCAATCTTGGCAAGGTGGAGAAGTGGGAAGCAATGGGGAGAGAAAGGGAGATGCCCAGAGCAGGAATTCTCAATGTGTGGTCCCTAGGCCAACAGCATCAGCACATCTTGCCCTCACCAGACCTACTGAATCCGAAACTCCCAGCGCAAGGCCCAGCAGTCTTCAACAAGCCCTCCAGGGGTCTTTGGTGCATGCTCAAGTTTGAGAACCATAGGCTTTGCCACGGTTAAAAAGATGTTTTAATGGACTGGTCTCCTCCTAAGCTCTGAGGTGCTCTCATATTCCCTCCATAAGTAAAGAGATTTTTTTTGTATAATTCTTTGCAGAAACTGTTAATGTCTTTATTTCTCATATTTTTTTTTTCCCCTACAAGCTCCTGAAAGATCTTTTTGAAGAATTGACAAAGGATGCTATCAAGGGCTATGTTTAGGTGGATGGAAATAACCTTTTGAAAATGGATAAAGCCTGGGTGTGGTGACTCACGCCCATAATCCCAACACTTTGGGAGGCCAGGGCGGGAGGATTGCTTTATTGCAGGAGTTGAAGACCAGCCTATGCAACACAGTGAGACCTTGTCTCTACAAAAAATTTTAAAAATTAGCTGGCTGTGGTGGTGCATGCCTGTGGTCCCAGCTACTTGGGAGGCAGAGGCAGGAGGATCACTCAAGCCCAGGAGGTTGAGGGTGCAGTGAGCCATGATCTGGCCACTGCACTCCAGCCTGGGTGACAGAGCAAGACCCTGTATCAAAAAATAGATAATAAAATAAAAATTGATAAAAATAGATCAATGAATTGTTAGTCTACGAATGATAGTCATTTTTCACAATTGGCAGTAAAAATAGGATTTGTGTAAGGTATGAGTTTACCATATTTGTTCATTAGATCTTAGTTTCAAGGGAAAGTATCATGTATTTTCCAGCATGATAATGATGAATCATTTAAAGTACGGCTCATAAAAATGAAAAAAAAAATTGGAAGAAAAAAACACCTTGGGTACATAGATGTGTAATAAATACCTGTTGAGTTATTGGTAATCTCTTGCTAGGACTGAATCTCAGTACTTCAGAGCATGTAAAAATCAATTTTCTGTGATCCCACTTAATCACACCGTGTTTTCTTTTTTTAGATTTCAGCTAGCAATTTTGCAGGGGTTGGAGACCAATAGCGATGTCATGCTTTTTGGTTGTTGTTATTGTCTGACTCGTGGATTCAGCATTTCAGAATATGGTACTCTAATCTTAAGGCTTTGAAAAGAAACCATGGCCATTTTTTCTTCATATTTTACCTTTATTAATTGGGCTGGGTCCTAACTGGTTGCCAGAGCCCAGAAATCCAAGTTCTGTCTTTTCAGGGAATATGCATAGCTAAAGAGTTCATTGTGTTTGCAAAGGTGTACTAGGAGTTCTCATTTCCTCAGATGCTCATGTCTGTAGGCTGTTAAGCTCTCATTTCAATTTTTGCAGTCTTTTAAAACACCACACTTCTTTTCCATCTTGAAGACCAGTTAAAACTACCTCTGGCCAAAAATGTTAGTGTTACTAGATATTATCAAGGTGTGAGACTAAAAAGTTAGAAGGCTTTAAGATGTAAATTATATAAGTTAATGTTTTCTTTCCCTAAAAGTTCTGACCCTTGCTGACCCCTCAATCAAATGTTTTTAATTGAAAGGGGAAAGAAAATATCAGAGAACTTAAAGATGGCCTTCGTGACTTTGACTCAAAATCAATGCATTTCATTATGTATGGGTCCTACACCTTGCTTCCTCAAGTGGCCATGAAAAAAAATCTCACGACCATGCAAACTGATGCCACCCCAAAGTCATGGTAACGATTTGAATTGCTCTCAGTATTGATGTCAAACTCCCTCCTGTTGTCAGCAGCTTATTGCAAACTGGCCATTCTAAACCCTTTTACCCCCACCTTCTCTCAATCTTAGCAGTTAATCTCAGCCCTCCCCCACCACATAACAGCCTCGGGCAGAACTTCCCACTTAGACACCCACACACACACACGCTTCCTTACCTTCTTGCCAGTGCCTGTCCTGCCCAAGACGAACCCCTTTTCCTGTGCCCTAGGACCTCTCCCTTGATAAATGACTTGATCTAGCTACAGCCTCACACTCCTGGCACATACAGCTTTGCATTTAAACATGTTCAGATACTCCTTCCTTCAAACAAAAGACCTTTCCTCAACCCTTTGAAAGCCTGAGTACCACTAAGGTATACTGCCCTTATCTGCACTCTGTCCATTCTGCAGTCTACCGAGGCAGTGGTTTTTAACCCTGGCTGCATGTTAGGGTCACCTGGGAAGTTTTAAAAAGTCCTAATTCCTGGACTGGACCACAGACCAGTTAAATCAGCATGGGGAGGTGGGGATGGGTTTCAGTCTTTAAAAAGAAATGTAGCTGAGGCTGAGAACCACCACTCTAAAACCTGGCTGCTACCCTTGCTACCATTAAAACTGTTCTTGCTGGATTCACCCACCAGTGACTTCTACTATTAAAATTTAGCCCATAGGTTGATTTTTATGACACTGATGCTATATAACCACTTCCTTCTTTGGAATGCTCCCTTTCCTGACCCTACTTTCCTGATTTTTCTGCCACTTCTTTGCTCTTTCTCAGTTTCTGTGGAGTTGTTTGGTAGGTCAGTCTAGCACAGACTGGATGCCGGTCTCTGCCGCCACCTCCGTTATTTCAGTGAACACCTGTATGCCAGTGAGTTCCTTTGCCATACCACCTTAATGCACCAACTTAAAAGCACAGATTAGAGTGGAGCATTCACATTTATTACTGCAGGCTTCTAGGAAAGCATATTAAAGGTCTCTGGTCCTTCTCTCACCTCCCTTGTTCCTCCTCCAAGCCCAGTGAGGTAGGAGGAATTGCTAATTAGATTAGTGAGATTCTAAGGTGGGTCACTCCTGTTTACTTATGAGTTGCTATTTATGAAAAGATGGCCTGGACTGTGTTCCCTCTTCTGCTTTCTCCTCTTCCGGGTCTTGGACTGGTAAGGGGGCCTGTGCCCAAAAGGGGCTCCTCCACCTAATGCTGTCTTTAATCTGTGGCTTTCTGCTGCTGGTTAATTTTTTAATTTGGCTTCCTCAAGCCTTTTTGGCCTTGAACTTCATGTTGATTTTTATCAAAGAACTTTTTATTGGGGCATCAGCACTAGCCCTATGAATACAGTGAAACTTGGGGTTCCACTTTCATCAGATGTGACCCTGTGTGTTCCTGATGTCTTTGAATCACTAGTTTCTGATTCAAAATATGGGGTAGGTGGATCTGATTAGTAGTCATATGCCTGTGTCCTGGCTAGGAAGTCAGAATGAGGTTATCTGGAAAGTTGAGCTTCCTCACACATGGGAAGGTACTTCAGATGCTGGACAGCCAATAAGAATAACAAAGGTCCACCAGAACCATTGCCCCAGTCACTGATTGAACAAACATTTACTGAACACTGATGAAGCGAAGTCCTCCTCAGGGACCTCTTAGGGAAGAGGGTAACTGCCCTAAAGCAGGATACTCCTGGGCTCCTTAGATATACTATCCTTGAAACTATTAGGCCCCTGTCCAGAGTACCTAATAATAATAATGGCAAATATGTATTTGGTGGTCTGCCATTTGGAAGCAACATCTCACTTATTCAACAACTCTAAAGGTAGGTACTTTTATCTCCATTTTAAAACAATGAAATACACTTACAGTTACAGACAAACTTGCTCGAGTCACATATCTATTAAGTGTCAGTCAAGATTCAGATTCAAGTCTGATGTTAAAGAGTGTCTGTTCCCAATCAATACCTCTGCTGCCTCTTTTTACAAACTGAACTGTTGGAGGGCATGTACATATGCATAAGCTGTGGGCCACTGGGCCATGGGCCAGTGTCTGATGAGACCTCTTTATTGACTTGTTTGTCCTGGTGGGCTGTTTCTCTACCAGGCAACTGTGAATGGGCTCATCCCTTCTCTGTGCGTACATGATTGAAAGGAGATAGCCGGTTTCTGTGACATCCTCTTATAACAACCTAGTTTTGTTCTTGAGAGTGACCAGAGCAAGAGAAAAGTCAATGAAATTTTGCAGATCTTGCAAACCTGTGGCAATAAGAAGGTATTATCCTTTCTGTACCAAGGCACAACTGATTCCTAAGTGAGGGGGATATGTGTTCTGAGATGTTAATGTTAGTGATAGACTGTTTTCAACACCTTGGTAAACATTTCTTTTGACTGTTAGCAAAAGCTGCCTTAACAGTCTTGGCTTTTAGAAATGCCCCTTCATTCATTAGATGTGTATGGAACACATCTTATGCCAAGCACTCTGCTAGGAGCTGGGTATACAGAGAAGAAAGGCATTCCTGCTCTCATGATGTTCATGGTCTTCTGCGGAAGAGACCAGAAAAAAAGTATTACAATGTAGAATGAAATAAGAATGACAGGGTATTTTGGCAGCAAGGAGGAGGGCACTTTAACTCAAACTGGGCAGTGGAAGAAGTAAAAAAAAACATTGAAAGAAATCCTGAAGGATAAGCAGGAGTTAAGAAGAGTGGATGAAGCCCTCCAAGGGTAAAAGCATGGTTTATTCAGAGCACTGCAAGTGTTTTAGTATGGCCCACATGTAAAGCTTACAGAGGAACAAAGAGAGAAAGGCAAGAGCCAGGAAGTGAAGGGTCCTGTGTATACTGGCTTACTTGTTGAGTTGGAGAACTATTGCCGTATTCCTCTGCTAAGCTCAGGGTGCATTCGTGGAAACCCTACTGCAACTGGCCCATTGTGCATACAAAGCTGGAACTGAGATGTGAACAGATTTGCATTGCCTTGATCACCTTCCGTGGGAAATATAGCTAGGCCCACTTATTGGTAGGAGCTACTGACATGTTAAAACTAGGTTAAACTGAATTGGAAGTAATGGTGTATTTGGAATCATGGCTGACTGATTCCATTACATGTTCTAGCATGATACCAGTCTGAGGTTATTCCCCTTGAACCACCGACTTAGTAGAGTTTAATGCACAATGTGATGGTCTTAGTTCCTTGTACTGTTCTTCAGTGTCAAAGTTGTTCAACTACCAGTTAAGTTTTTTGGGCTTTGTTTCTCAGTAGTGACAATAAATTTGTGTTGATCTATTTACACCTTTTGGACTGAACACCTTAGCAATCATTGATATTTTAAGCCTACAGGAAGTGCCCATGGGATAAAACCAATCTGCTGGCTCACACTAAGTTCTGATCCCATGATTTTGGTCTCATTAATACCGTGCTATAAATAAAGTTAGCTAAATCTTTTGAAACTGCATAAAAGTGAAATAATTATGAGTTTTGGGCCAACATTTTTCCTGAACAGCTTCTGACTGACCAGCATTTTAAATTAGGCGATGCAGTCTAGCTTTTGTACATAGAAATAAGAAAGTGACTTATGTTCCATTATTAAAATAGTATAGGGAGGACAGGTAAATTACTAATTTTTCATTGCTCATAGTAGAGAATTAAGGTATATTGACTAGTGAAATAGAGGATTATGGGGATCATATGAAAATATGATTAAAGAGATTATCACTAGAAGAAAAATTCAGACTGCTAATTATGAGAAAAAACATGTATGCACAACCAAACAAATCACAAAAATGAAAGATGTCTAAAACCATAGAATAGGAACAAATGTACCTGTCATATTAATAAAAGTAAACTTATCTGTAGATAAAAGGCAAAAATGTCAGCAAACACTAATTTCATGTTATAAGATTCAGAAAGGTTGAGCAAAAGTAAACCAAGCAAACACAAACAAGAAAATGAGTTGTAGTCTGCATATCAGGCAAGGTTGAACTTAGGGAAAAGGAACCGGAAAAAAAAAAACCAAAAAAAACCACGACATAATGCTAAAGGGTGTGACTCACGAGATAATGTTTCTAGATATCTGTGTACCAAATAATGGAAAACCATTTATGTATTGGAAACCATAGGAGACACAGGAAGAAACAAATACAATGTTAGTTGGATATTTTAATTCAATTCTGTCAATTCATGACAGATCAAGTGGATAAAAAACTAGGACATGGGATGATTTAAATAAGATACAGAAGATCTAGTTGATGCATATTAGACTTTACCCTAAAAGTGGTAACTACACTTCAAAGTATCCATGAAACATTTCCCCATTTGACTGTGTATTAGAGCGTACAGAAAACATAAGTTTCAGAACGGAAAAAAGGAACAACAGATGGCATTTGCTGATAAAAATGCAATAAACTTAGAATTTGAGGATAGGTGGTCAGAAAAAAAAATGCAATAAATTAAAGCCAGAAAACACTGCTCATCTGCAATCCAAAATGTTTTTAAGCTCTTCAACTATTCTTGGGTTGATTAGGAAATGCAAAGTATTAAAAAAACATTTCATATCTAAAATATAAACTTGTTCCTCTGAGATACAAATAAAACAGTGCTCAGAGGAAAATTCATTGCCCTAAAATTTATGTATTAAAAAATAAGATAAATGTCATATAACTCAAAATATTAGGAAAAGGAATCTTTTAAAGGCAGGCTAAAAGAATCAAGAAAAATTAATTAGAAAAATGAGGAAACAAAGCTAATTTTTAAAATATGTAGTAAAATATGTAACATTTTAGCTAACATTACAAGAGAAGACAAACACAAAATAAGAATTACCAAGTATTGAATAGGTAAGAGTCATAAAATATTCTTTGCTCAACTGTATGCAAACAATTTAAAAACTTGGATTAAATGGATAATTTTCCAGGAAGGTATAGTTTGCCAAAAAATGACATCAAAAGAAATCTAATATAACAATTGTCATAGAAGAAATGAAGTAAGTATTTCAATTAGCATGACAGACTAAATACTTTTAAAGACCCAATGAAAACAAAGAAATGCATTTGGAGAATTAACAGAAACTTTTTGTAACACCAATTTTTTATTTTACATTTTAAAGCATGGAATGGAATTTATTGTAAAGACGTGTATTTTATAGAATCCAAGCAAAAGCTCACCAGCCAGAGATAAAGTGAGGCCAGCTCAGGGAATGTGAGCAGTGGCGATTTATTCCCTCTGGTGTTCCATGTTAGCCTGACACAGAGCCCCCTCTTCACATTCTCAGGGGCTCTTGATCCAAAACCTTTTTTAAAAAAAATAATTTTAGACTTAACAGAAAATCTGCAAAAATAGATTTCCTGTGTGCCCTTCTCTCAGCTTCTTCTAATGTTAACTTACATACCAATGGTACAATTATTGAAACTAGGAAATTAACATTGGCACAATCCTATTAACTACATACTTTATTTGAATTGTAGCTGTTTTCCCAGTAATGTTGTTTTTCTGGTTCGGTATTCAATCCAGGATCCATATGTACTTGGGTCTTTCTGGGTTTTCTGTTCCACTGGTCTACTTGTGCATGGTACCACACTGTTTTAATTATAGAGACTTTATAGTATGTTTTAACAACTGGCAAGGCTAGTCCCCCTTATAATTTTTCCTATTGTGCTTCTGGCTATTCATACATGTTTGTTTTTCCATGTGAACTTTAGTATCAACTTGTCTAAATTCATTTTTTAAGGTACATTGGTATTTTATTGATATTATATGATATTAACTGATTTAGAGAGAACTAACATCTTTAAAATGTGGTGTCATCCTATCCAAGAATAGGAGATGTATTTCCATTTATTCAAGTCTATTTTGTGCCTTTTAGCAGTGTTTTAAAATTATCCTTGTGTAGGTTTTGTGCATTTCTTGCTAAGCTTATCCCTAAGTATTTAATTTATTTGCTAGTAAATGAGATTTCCTCTGCCATTATGTCTTCTAACTGGTTATTGCTCTCTATATAAAAGCTACTGATTTTGTATGCTAATATATCTTGCTACCTTACCTAATTTTTTTAAAAAAATAAACAACAGAAATTTATTTCTTATGGTTTCACAGTCTGGGAAGTCCAAGATCAGGGTGCTGGCTGATTCAATGTCTGGTGAGAGCTTGCCTTCAGGTTCATAGATGGCACCTTCTAATTGTGTCCTCACATGGTGAAGGGAACTAGTTAGCTCTCTGGGGTCTCTTTTATAAGGGCATAAATCCCAATCACTAGGGCTCCACCCTCCTAATCTAGTGACCTCCCAAAGGCCCTGTCTTCAATGCCAACACTTTGGGGGTTAGGATTTCCACCTGTTTTCGGGGGACACAAACATTTATACCATAGCAGTCAGTAACAAACTCTTTTTGTTTTGCAGCCAAAGGTCAGTCAGTTTTATCTTCTTAGCTTAGTATAATCTAAGCCCTAAAACCATGAAATGCATGGGAAAGGTTTTTTTTTCTCTTTTTCAACTTTTATTTTAGATTTGAGGGGTGCATGTGCAGGTTTGTTACCTGGGTATATTGCGTGATGCTGAGGTTTGGGGTATGAATGACCTGTTACCCAGGTACTGAGCATCCGTACAGAATTCTTTTACTTTTGAAGTTAGTTTTATCATTGCTCCTCTAGAAAAACAAACAAAAAAACCAAAAATTATTTCTAAACACCCAGAATAATAATAAGAAATGAAAAAAATCTATAGAAGTAAAAAATGACAGACATTTATGCAGCCAAAAAACACATGAAAAAATGCTCATCATCACTGGCCATCAGAGAAATGCAAATCAAAACCACAATGAGATACCATCTCACACCAGTTAGAATGGCAATCATTAAAAAGTCAGGAAACAACAGGTGCTGGAGAAGATGTGGAGAAATAGGAACACTTTTACACTGTTGGTGGGACTGTAAACTAGTTCAACCATTATGGAAGTCAGTGTGGCGATTCCTCAGGGATCTAGAACTAGAAATACCATTTGACCCAGCCATCCCATTACTGGGTATATACCCAAATGACTATAAATCATGCTGCTATAAAGACACATACACACGTATGTTTATTGCGGCATTATTCACAATAGCAAAGACTTGGAACCAACCCAAATGTCCAACAATGATAGACTGGATTAAGAAAATGTGGCACATATACACCATGGAATACTATGCAGCCATAAAAAATGAGGAGTTCATGTCCTTTGTAGGGACATGGATGAAATTGGAAATCATCATTCTCAGTAAACTATCGCAAGAACAAAAAACCAAACACCACATATTCTCACTCATAGGTGGGAATTGAACAATGAGAACACATGGACACAGGAAGGGGAATATCACACTCTGGGGACTGTGGTGGGGTGGGGGGAGGGGGGAGGGATGGCATCGGGAGATATACCTAATGCTAGATGACGAGTTAGTGGGTGCAGCGCACCAGCATGGCACATGTATACATATGTAACCTGCACAATGTGCACATGTACCCTAAAACTTAAAGTATAATTAAAAAAATAAAATAAAAATTAAAAAAAATGACATGAAAGCTTAAACCTGGGAAAGCAAGTAAGACAAAAGCCATCTTTTACCTTGAAGATCAGGGTAAGCCCTGATTACCCTGAGCCTCTGTTGTGCTGACTGAGATGGATGCAGGAGGTAAAGCAGGGCCTGCTCAAGGCAGGAAGTTTAATCTGAGATCTCCCACAAAGTGGGGACCCTCCAAGTGCTACCCTTACTGTGTAAAGGTAAACACTAAATAAGCCACCAAGCAGAAATAACAGCAAGGAAAATTGCCTTTCTTGACCTTGGCCCTGGGTGGAGGAAAAGCTGTTCCTGTCTCACCAACCTAAAAATGTTTAACAAGTTGTCCCTTACATAGAGAGTTGGGCCTCAAATTTATGCTACTTGTATGTTGCAAAATACTGCATGAGGAAATTTAATTTACAGTAGACCCAAGCCAGTTGTAACCCCAGATAACTACTAGAAGCAACCACAAATTCTCTCTGGAGGAATGAGCCTTCAATCCAGGTATCAGATAACTCTCATAGATAAAGTTATGAATATGAACAACTTAAGCCAATATATTTGAAAGCTTAGACAAAATTCCTAGGGAAAATAATTTCTCAAAACTCATTCAGGGGAAATAGAATGCTTGATTAGTTTTGTAACATTAAACAAATTTAATAAGTAGTTTAAAATCTGGGCCTGTGTACTCTGCAGAAAGATTTTATGGGACCCCCACAATGCCATCAGTTTTTTTTCTGGAGCTTGACACATTGATTGTAAAGTTCATTTGGAAGAACAAATGAACAAGAGCAGCCCGAGGAAAACCTTTTAAGAGAGCACTTGGTAGGAGGAGGGCTAGTCCCACTACATATTAAAACATAAAACACAACTCTGAAAGTGTGGTATAGGTGCATGCATAGATTAATGGAACGATATAGAAAATTCTGAAACAGGCCCAATTGCATATGAAAGTTCAGGATACAATAAAGGTGGTGCCCTAAGTCAGTGGGGGAAAAGATGGATTATAAAAATGAAGGGTGTTGAGATAACTGGATATAGTTATATAGCTACATATAAATATATAGCTATACAGGAAAAAGTGGATCTGTTTCTCACACTATGCCAGGATAATTTTCAAATTGATGAGAGATTTAATTGTACAATTTAAACTATACAACTACTGGAAAAAAAAAGATGAATTCCTCTGTGACAGGGGTCAGCAAGCCACATAGCCTGTAGGCCAAATCTGACTGGCCCAAGGCCTAGTTTTGGACTGCTGCAAGCTAAGAACGGTGTTTTGTTTTGTTTTTTCTGCCACCTTTAAAGTGTTCAATAACAAAAGAGGAGACCATGGAACAGAGACTTTATGTGGTCGTAAACTCTAAAATATTTGCTATCCAAACTTTTATTTAAAAAAGACTGTGGACCCATGCTTTGTAACCTGGGTTAGCTATTGCATAATAATGCGACTGAACTCAGCTGGGGCACCTCTGCTCTAAGTGTCCTTCATCTCCTTGGACCAGTACAAAAATATACCCCACTCCTTTGGTAGAAGGGAATGTAAATCCACATGGCAAAGGATGGGGATATAGACAATGGAAAGTTTTGGGACCAATAATGTACTCTTCCACACTAAATACTACTAAAAATTTAGATGCAATAAGAGGAGATATATTTGACTGTTGAAAAAAAAACCTTGCATGCATATACACAGTAAGCAAACTAAAATACAAGTGATAACCCAGAAACATGGTTGCAACTTACATCACAGATTAAAGGCTAATACTCCTAATTTATAAACATAAAAATAGAGAATCTCCTGTAGACCACTGTAGAAGAGATATGAGCAGACAGTTGACAGAAAAAATGCAAATGTCTCTCAAACGTGAAAAGATGCTCAACTTTCCATATAGTCGATTGATTTTCACAGCAACCTAATGAGTAGATATTCTCATCATCCCCATTTAAGAGACAAAGAAACTGAGTCATAAAGATGTGAAGTATTATGCTTGAACACAAAAAGCTAAGAAGTAATGGTGCCAGGATTTGAACCCAGTCAGACTGGCTCTAGATGAAAGACTAATTTACCATGGCTAAATGAGGCTTATTTCAGGAATGCAAGGATCATTTAATATTAGGAATAGCTGGGTGTTTCCTTAATGTGATAAAATATATTTATCTCATCCAAAGCCTGCGTCATGCTTAATTGAGAATACCAGAAGCAATTTCATTGAAGTCAGGAACAAGAAAAAGATGTCCACTAATTATCACTATTATTTAAAAATGTTCTGTAAGACTTAGGCGAAACAATTAAGTGAAAGAAATTAAAGATACAGAAATTAGAAGAGAAGAGAAAATTATAATTTTAAGATGATACTGAGTTTTTTACTTAGAAACTAAAGAAGACTAACCAGACCTTACAAAATAAGAATTTAATAAATTAATTTTCAGAAATCAATAGCTTTTATAGATACAATGTCTAATTTCAAGCTCTAAGGGAAGAAAAGACCCATGTTGTAATAGCACAAAACATAAATGATAACATAGGAATAAACACAAGAAATATTATTTGTAGAAAATGTTAAAATGCTAATGAGAGATGAAACAAGACCCAAACAAACGGGAAGATACACCACGTTCTCTCATAGAAATACGCAGCATCATAAAGATATCACTTCTCTCGATTTACAAATGTAATGTGATCTTCAATAAAAATACCAATAGAATTGAAAAAAATTATATAAATTAATTCTAAAGTTCATATTAAAAAAAGATAGAGGGAGACTACTAGATATTAAAATTTATACATCTACAGCAATTAAAACAGAGTAGTAATAATTTGTGAGTAGTCATACAGATGAGTGGAACAGAACAGTTCAAAAATAGATCTAAATACTTACGAGAATTGAGAATATGATAAAGATGGCTTTTCAATCAGTGGAAAAAAGATTAGTCAGCAAATGGGGTGGGAACTCCTAGGTAGGGCTCTGGTGAAAAAAGTTAAGTTGGATCTATACTTCACCTCTTATACCAGGACAAATTACAGACAGTCTAAAGATTTAAACGTAAAAAATAATAATTTTTCTAAAAGTACAAAAAAAAAAAAAAAAAGGAAAGTTATTTTATAACCTAAGACTGGGGAAGGCCTTTCTAAGTATGACACAAAACCCAGAAGCCATAAAAGAAAAGATTGCTGGATTAGACTTCACAGAGAGAAAACATTTCATCATGGCAGTAGCACCATAAGCAAATGCAAATGAGAACTTGGGCAAGAAATGTGTAACTCTGCCAAGATGAGGGCCTAAGTTATCTAAAATAGAAAGAGTCCCTATCAATAAAAAGGAAAACACATTAGCAATCCAGTATAAAAATGGGCAAAGGAGATTAACAGAGACATGTAATAGAAGAGAAAATACAAATGACTTTGAAGCATACGAAAATGCTTAATAATAGAAGTTTTTCACCTACCAAAAATAATAAAGTTTGTTAACACGCTATAATGGCAAATGTGTAGTTAAATAGATGCTCTCATACATTGTATAAACTAGTGCCAAGTATAAAGAGTTGGCAGTATCTTATTAAAATTACAAAGGTTCATTACATTTTTAAACCCAGCAATCCTAGGAATTTGTCCTACAGATACAATTGTATCTATACATGTGAAATAACGTATGTCAACATAAAAATGTATAGAAAGATGAATCTCTAAGTAAAAAGGTTTTATTGGGGAGTAATACACAAGATGTGGGATTGCAATCCAGGTCATACATACAGACAGACCCAGGTGTCCTCCAGTATGTCCAGAGAAAAGGAAAAGGTTAGGGTTTTACTGGGGAAAGAGGAGGTTATACAAGTCGTTCTGAAAGAAAGTCATTGGAGGGGATAGTGTCTTTTGGGAGCTGGCAAGTGCTGATTTGTGAGTGGTGGCAGTTATTGGGTGAAATTTGTGATCTTAAAATTATGTTTTGTTTGATTGGCCTTGCATATGAGTCAATGTGTCAGGCAAGTGTTCTTAGAAAAGTGATTAGCTGCCCTGCTGTCCTTGTGTGACTTAAGTTGGTAAGCTTTGATTCGTTTCTGTTATCAGGCAAATCGTGCATGAAATCCCTCCTTTCATAGCCTTCCCTGGCTCCACGTTGTCAGGGTTTGACACAAGTGACTCCATTTTGAATCTGACAACTTTTGCATGAGCAGGACTAACCATTAGAATTCACCAGAGGTTAGTCAGCTTCAGTCCTCACACAAGGAAGGCAATTACACAAGGCTTTAATACCAGGAGGTTGGTCATTTGAGGTCATCTTAAAGAGGCTGCCTAACACATGGGTAAATATTTTAAAAACCTAACTATATCTGGCTTTCAAGAGGCATACTTTGAGTGTTAAGAGAAAAATTGAAAGTAAAAGGATGATAAAAAACACACCAACCAAGAAAAGGCTGATATAGCTATACAAATATCAGTTGAGATAAATGTAAGTCAAGAAGCATTACTAAGGACACAAAGGAACATTTCATAGAGATAAAAAGATAAATCTACCAGAAAGATAGAGTTTGTATTTTAATGCAACTAATAATATAGCTTCAAAATATAGAAAACAAAATTACAGACCTAGAAGTACCTGATAGTACAAGTAGTGATTAATAATATGGATGATTACAATAAAATGAATAATAAATTTAACCTAATTAATGTCCATAGAATACTATAACCAGCAGTGTCAGAAGAGGTATTCTTTCCAAGCACCCATTGAATTTTTACCAGAATTTATCATATGCTGGTCTTTAAAGTAAGTCCCAACAAATTCCAAAGGGTAAATCACCTAAAATATGTTCTCTGACCAAAGTGAAATTACTCTAAAAATCAATTTTTTAAAAACCCCAGCAGAGCCTGAAATATTTAGAAATTAAACATTACAATTCTAAATTATTGATAGTTCAAAAATAAATTGCAGTAGATGTTAGACAATATTTGGAACTATATGGCAATTTTTAAATGACATCAAAACTTGCATAAAAAAGGCTAAAAGTCAGTCTAAGTACGCATCTCAAAAAGTAGAAAAAGGATAGCAACAAACCCAGAGATTGGTTCTCTGAAAAGACTAATAATATTGATAAACCTCTAGCAAGACTGATTTAAAAAAAAAAAAGTCAAAAAAATGAGAACATAAGCCCCAGGCTGGGATAAAATGTTTGCAAAAGACACATCTGATAAAGGACTGTTATCCAAACTGTAAAAAGAACTCTTAAAACTCAGCAATAAGAAAAAAAAAAAAGCCCTAAATTAAAAAGTGGACAAAAGATCTGAACAGACACCTCACCAAAGAAGATATACAGATGGAAAATAAGCATATGAAAAGATGCTCATCAGAATAAAATAATAATGAGATGCCATGACATACCTATTACAATGGTGATTTTCCAAAACACTGACAACACCAAATGCTGGTGAGCATGTGGAGCAACAGGAACGCTAATGGGAATTAGCTAATGGGCATGAAAAATGGCACAGCTATGATGAAAGACGGTTTGGCAGTTTCTTGCAAAACTAAGCATGCTCTTACCATACAATCTAGCAATGATGCTTCCTGGTATTTATCCAAATGAGCTGAAAACTATGTCCACAGAAAGACTGCACACAGATGTTTATAGCAGATTTATTTGTAATTGCCCAAGATGTCTTTCAGCAGGTAAATGGATAAACAATCTGGTACATGCAGGCAATGGAATATTATTTAACTCTAAAAAGAAATGATCTATCCAGCCATGAAAAGAAATAGAGGAAATTTAAATGCATATTGCTAAGTGAAAGAAGCCAATCTGAAAAGGCTACCTACAGTATGATATCATCTATATGAACAGGCAAAATTATGGGGACAGTAAAAAGATGAATTGTTGCCAAGGGTTAGATGGGAAGGAGAGGTGAATAGGCAGAGCACAGAAGATTTTTAGGGCAGTGAAAATACTCTGTATGATACTACAATAATGGATAAATGCCATTATACATTTATCAAAACCCATAGAATGTATAACACTAATAGTGAACATTAGTGTATCAACTATGGACTTTGGATGATAAAGATGTGTAACTGTTTTATGATAATGTGTTGATTGTAACAAATGTATCACTCTGGTGAGGAAGGCTGTGCATGTGTGGGGGAAGAAGGTATATGGGAATTCTCTGTACTCCTGCTCAATTTAGCTGTGAATCCAAAACTACTCTAAACTCTATTTTAAAAATAGAAAAAAGGCACAGATTACCAATATAAAACCCCAGAAAAAGCCTGGGATTTTTTAAAACCCCAAACCTTCATATTCTAAGAATGTAATATGAAGAACTTTCTGTCAGCAAATCAGAAAATCCTCATGAAATGGAATTTCTAGGAAAATACAATTTACCAGCTCAAGAGTAAATAGAAGGCTGGGCATGGTGGCTCGTGCCTGTAATCCTAGTTCTTTGGGAGGCCAGGGTGGATGGATCATTTAAGTCCAGGAGTTCAAGACCAGCCTGGCCAACATGTAAAACCCCGTCTCTACTAAAAATACAAATAATTAGCTGAGCGTGGTGGCGTGCACCTGTAATCCCAGCTACTCAGGAGGCTGAGGTGGGGGAATCACCTGAGCCAGGGAGGTCAAGGCTGCAATGAGCTGAGATGCTGCCACTGCACTCCAGCCTGGACAACCGGAGTGAGACCCTGTAACAACAACAAACCCAAAAGAATAAATAGAAAATTTGAATTGTTTATATCTGTTTAAGAAGTTGAATCTGGGCTGGGCACAGTGGCCCACGCCTGTAATCCCAGCACTTTGGGAGACTGAGGCAGGTGGATCACTTAAGGTCAGGAGCTCAAGACCAGCCTGGCCAACATGGTGAGACCCCATCTCTACTAAAATACAAAAATTAGCTGGTCGTGGTGGCATGCTCCTGTAATCCTAGCTACTCAGGAGGCTGAGGCATGAGAATCGCTTGAACCTAGGAGGTGAAGATTGCAGTGAGCCGAGATCGCACCACTGCACTCCAGCCTGGGCAACAGAGTGAGACTGTGTTCAAAAAAAAAAAAAAAAAGAAAGAAAAAAAAGTTGAATCTGTAACTATAACTTTCCCACAAAAAAATCCCCAGTCCAGATTTTTTTCTTCACCAGCAAATTCTTTTAAACATTTAAAGAATTGACACTAGTCTTATACAAACTGTTTGAAATAATACAAAAAGAAAAATAATTCCCAATTCACTTTGAGGCTACCATAATTTTAATACCAAAGGGTGGCAGGTTCATTACAAGAAAGGAAAATTATAGGCCACTATATCTAATGAACATACTTATAAATATCTTAAAGAAAATATTAGAAAGTAAAGTTCAGTGAATTATTTATTTTAGGAATGCAAGATTTTGGCTTAACATCACAAAATCAGTGTTTTCAACCCATTCAACTGGATTTATTTTCAACAAACTATCTGGGACAACTGGATATCCACATGCGAAATAATGAAGTTGGATCCCTCTTTATACAATATGCAAAATTAACTAAAAACATATCAAAGACCTACACATAAGGGCTAAAACTAGAAAACATTTAGAAGAAAACAAATGCATAAATCTTCATGACCTTGGATGAGGTAATGGTTTATTAGATATGACACCACATGCACAAGCAACTGAAGAAAAAATAGATAAATAAGCCTTTATCAAAATTTAAAATTTTTTGCTTCAAAAAGACACTGTCAAGAAGATGAAACGACGACCACAGAATGGGAGAAAATATTTGCAAATCATATATTGGATAAGGGTCTGATATCCAGAATATATAAAGAACTCTTATGACTCAACAACCAAAAGGTAAACAATCCAATTTAAAAATGGGCAAAAAGACTCGAGTAAGCATTTCTCCAGAGAAGATGTAGGCATGGCCAACAAGCACACGAAAAGATGCTCAACATCATTAGTCACTGAAGAAACACTGAAACTACAAGATGCCACTTTACACCCATTCCTAGACAGTTAAAAACTTATGTACCCCCAAAAGCTTGTACACAAATGTTCATTTTAGCCTTATTTACAATAAACTAAAAGTGAAAACCACCCAAGTACCTATCAACTGATGAATGGTAAACAAAATGTGGTATATCTGTACAATAAAACATCATTCTGCCATGAAAAGACTGAAGTACTGATTCATGTGGCAACATGGATTAACTTTGAGAATATTATGCTAATTGAAAAACACCAGACAGAAAAGGCCATATTCCACTTACATGAAATGTTCAGAATAGGCAAATCCATAGAGACAGATATTGCAGACAGGCAGTAGATTAGTAGCTGCCAATGGGAAAAGGGGAATGGGGAAGGACTGCTAGTAGGTATGAGGTTTCTTTCTGCAGTGATGAAAATGTTCCGGAGTTATATGGTAATCATTGCACAACTTTGTGAATATACTAAAAACCACTGAATTGTACTCTTTAAAATGATGACTTTCAAGATATACGAATTATGTTTCCATTTAAATATTAGTGTATTTCACTACATTAGCATCGTAAGGCAGAAAAAATATCTCAATAGAATGATGCAGAAAAAGCATTTGATAAAATCAAATACTTATTCATAGTGAACACTTAACACACTAGGAATAGAAGGAAACATCTTTAAATTGGTAAAGATCAGTAAAAATCTTACAGGAAATATCATAGTTAATAGTGAAATATTAAAAGCTTTCACCTTGAGATTAGGAATATTTCCTAATACTATTTCTATTAAACATTGTACTAGAGATCTTAACCATTGCAATAAGGCAAGGAAAAGAAGTTACAGACTGCAAAGCATATGATTGTTTATGTAGAACATCCAAAAGAATCTATGGTCAATTAAATTTATTAGAAATAAGTAAATTTGGCAAGGCTACTGGATTCACGTTTACTCTACAAAAATCAATGATATTTTTATATATCTGCAATATTCAGTTCAAAAATGAAATTTAAAAATATTTACAATAGCATCGAAGACATAAACTGAGAATAAATCTAATGAAAGATGAGAAAAAATCTTTACATGGAAAGCATTACAGAGGAAAAATAAAGAAGGTCTAAATAAATGGAGAGATCTGCTGTATTCATGAATTGAAAGCCTCAATATTGTAAAGATGTCAGTTATTTTCCAACTGGTCTACAGAGTTAATGCAATTCCAGTCAAAATCACAGCAGATTTCTTGGGGGAAATTAAGCTGATTCTGAAACATGGAAACATTAGAGACCAAGAATAGAGAAGAGAGTGTTTAAAGAACACAGCTGGAAGACACACTGCTAGCTATCAAGACTTCTTATAAAGTTACAGTAATTAATACCATGTGGTATTGGTGCAAGAATAAACAAATAAAACAGTGAAACAGAACAGAGTCTAGAAGCTGATCCACACACATAGTCACTTAACTGAGGACAAAGGTAATGATGTAGTGCAGCAAGGAAGGGATGACCCGTTCAATATATGGTGCTGACTCAGTTGGATATTCACAGGTAATATACATCTTGATCCCTATTTCCACAACTTGAAAAAAACCAAGTCCATATAGATTGCATAATAAAGATGAAAGTGTAAAAAAGTAAATATTATGGTTAAAAAAAGGAAAGTGTCTTCATTTACTTGAAGTAGGTAAAGATTTAAAAAATAAAATATCAAAAGCACTACCTAGAAAGAGAAAGAAAATGATTACTATAATTATTGGATTATATTAAAGTTGAAATGTTCTATTTATCAAAAGACCCCATTAGT
This sequence comes from Homo sapiens, assembly GCF_000001405.40. Taxonomy (NCBI): domain Eukaryota; kingdom Metazoa; phylum Chordata; class Mammalia; order Primates; family Hominidae; genus Homo; species Homo sapiens. The sequence continues at coordinate 76,225,665 of NC_000014.9, forward strand.
AAAAAAGCAAGCCACAAAATAGGAGATTATACCTGCAACACAAATATTTGACAAAGGACTTGCATTCAGAATCTATTTTTAAAAGTATTACAAATCAATGAAAACAAACAGATGATCCAATGAAATTATGGGCAAATGACTTGAAGAAAACATCACAAAAGAGAATATCTGAATGGCCAATAGATACATCAAAAAGTGCTTAAACATCATTAGTCATCCATGAAATGCAAATTAAAACCCAATGCGATATTACTACATACTCAACAGAAGGTCTAAAATTAGAAAGATAACACCAACTACTAAGTAAGGATACGGAGCAACGAACACTCTCATAAACTACTGTCAGGGAGTAAATTCGTACAACCACTTTAGAAAGTTATTTGACAATGTTTATTAAAGCTGAACATACACAAACCCAATCTACCAGAAATTCCACTCTAAAGTACAAACCCCATAGAAACATACATACACATACATATATGCATCAAAACATATGTACATAACAGTACTACATATAACAGTGAAAACTGGAAATGATACCAACACCCATCAACAGGGTAATGAATTCATAAGTTGTGTTATATTCATAGAATAGAACACTGTACAGAAATGAGGATTAACAAACTGTATGCAGCAACACGTATGAATCTCAGAATTACAGCGCTGAGCAAAAGAAGTCAAAGATGAGAATACATTGTATGATTCCATTTATATAGGGTTAAGAAGAAGCAAAACTGAACTTTGCTGTTACAAATCAGGATTGTGCTTGCTGTAGATGTGAGTAGTAACTGGAGGGAGAAAAAGGGCCTGTGGAAACTGTGGTCATGTTCTATGTCTTTGTTTAGAGGATGTGTTCTTGCTATATCCTGAATGTGTCCCTCCAAAATGTGTGTGTTGGAAACTTCATCCCCAATGCCACCGTGTTGGGAGGTGGGACCTAACTGGAGGTGTTTAGGTCATGAAGGCTTATGAATGAATTAATGACGCTATAAAAAGGGCTCGTGGGCGTGGGTTCACCCCCTTCCACCATCCGCTGTGTGAGGATGCAGCAAGAAGGTTCTCATCAGATTCTGATGCCTTGATCTTGGACTTCCCAGCCTCCAGAACTGTGAAAAGTAAATCTCTCTTCTTTGTAAACGACCCAGTCTCAGGTGTTCTGTTATAGCAGCACAAAATAAACTAAGAGAGTTCTGTTTGTAAAAGAGAGTGTACACGGAGCTGTACACTTATGATTGTGCATTTTTCTGGAAGTGTATTGTATTCAATAAAACAAGGCAAATGAAAGCCCAAAAAAGTGTGTGAGCATGGAGAGGTGTTTCTGAGTGTAAGGGGATGTCTGAGAGCTGAGCGGAGGGCATGTGCAATCCCAGCTCTGCTTTAAGCCCAGGGCCTCAGCAGGAAGTATTGCACAGGGTGCCTCCCTCCTGGACTGTCTGAGAGCTCCAGCCCTCCTGCAATTTGGGGATCCTTGAGGGCCCATGGCATTTTCTTTTCAAATAGGCTGTCAGGCCATGTATATTCTCCACGTTGTTTGAAAAGAAACTTCCACAGCATCAGATACACTGGGATTCTGACCCTGAGTCTTCTGGCCGGCATCTGTTCTGATTAGGATACTCACCCTCCTACACGATATCACTGGTGTGGTGTTTCTCCCTCTTCTCCTAACCTCAAAAGGCCTGAGCCCCTGACTGGCCAGTGTGGAGTGGAGGAAAGACCCCAGGCTGCAGGGAAATGAGACCAGTGGAGTACCAGAGTCCAGGGGGGAGGGACTCAGGCAGGAATGATTGTGACCAGCCGATGGGGTAGAACCCAAAGTATGAAGTTGATTCCTTGTGGAGAGACGAATCCAGGGGTGTGCAGCAACACTGTGTAGGATGTTTGCAACCCACAGCTTCAGTGGCAGCATCCTTGCAGGTCATTTGTGAATTGCGTAACACGAAATGAATCATGCTCCTGTGAAGACATATGCTTTTCGTTTAAGATATTAAACAGTAGCTCCTGTGAGTAACACAGATATAATCCTATACATTTATGAATGCATTGGATAAAGTACTACTTACAAGAACTCCATAGGATTGATATCCACACTGCATAGGTATGTAAAACATGAGTTGCCCAATTCCCCCAACAGGCAGAAAACAGACTCCTTGGCTCAGCCCCGTGAGTCTGCACCACAGGAATCCTACGTAGAATCAGAGTTGGAAAAGCCCGTTGCAGGTCACCTGGTCCAGCCTCTCCCAGGCAGAGGGCTCAGTCCCTGATTCCTGTCCTCAGGGAGCAAGGAAAGCAGGGAAAACCATCTACTCACTTCTCCCAGCGCAACTCCTATGTGAAAGGGAAATAGCAGTGGACAACCTGGAGCTTTCCAGAAGCAACACTGCGAAATAAACTAACACAGTTTCCGGATCTGTGTGGCTACAGCACTGATGAGGTTAAATGCTAACAAGACGGCTTGTCTGGAACCAAAGGGTGCGCATAGCTTTAGGTATCTGGATATTATTGTTTCGCATCGCCATTTAAAAGATAATAAAGTGGTATTGTTTCCTCTTTACCCTGAAACCCCAGAAGGAACAAAAATTCCCCTTTCTGTTACATACAAGATTCATAAGAGTTTTGTTTTGAATGTTGGATTCCTTTGGGGGAAGGGGGAACATAAATACTTGGTGTTTGATGTGTGTGTGTGTGCGTGCGCGCGCGTGTGTGTGTACACAAAGAAAGAGGTTGCTTTCTCCCTCTCACCTCCCTGCATTACAAGTCTTTACCTCTTGCTCTGAACTTGTAACTTTCCGCATTGTGCCAGGGGGCAGGCAGTTTCTAGGTTGTCGGTTTTCCAAGGTCATCCTTTGAGATTAGCGTTCTGTGGGTTGCATCTGTAATAAGTCAGACAAGGGTTTCTTCAGCTGACTTAGTAGGCTCTTCCCTTCTGATCTGAAACTGCTTAGGAAGTCTCAGCACAGCCCGTAGACTGTTTCGTTGCTATAAATTCCTAAAAGAAAACAAAAGCAGAGTTTCATCATTTTTGGTGCCCACTCCTCATCTGTCTCCTCCCTCTGTGTCCTTTGGTGACTGTGAAAGGATGTGACAGTGTCTGGTGGAGTTGGTGGAGAGAGAAACAGTGGCCTGTGGGTTGGAGCTCAGAGAAAGAGGTTATCCTAGGATGAAATATCAAACCATATCACATTGATTTTCCCTTTGGGGGGCCTGGATATCACATCCTTCCATTTCCCTCTAGTCCCTGCCCACCATCGACAGGGAAGCATTAACAGGGAATAATCAATGATGCTGTGTCCTGAAAATAAGAGGCTTGTCATGTCTCTCCATTTGGTGGAATGGATGTGGGACCAGGGGTCATGTGGCCGCTTCCATCTGTCTCCTGACAGAGGCACTGACTCAGACATGCTTTCCATCCACAGGGCTGCAGCCCACAGCCAGGTGACTGCAAGCTCTCCATGGGCATCAAGAAAAACAAGACTTCAATTTCTTTGAACCCCTGTGTCAGGAGCTAGGCTGACTATGAAATATGGCAGCTTAGGAGTGGCGTGAGTGAACTTTAATTTCTGAGTTTTGTAAAGGATTGATATTCCCTCATATGCTACATGCTGCTCTTGCTGTCAAACCAGGCCATGCATTCACTGTTTCATGATAGAATAAGAAATTCAGAATTGACAGGGACTAAACTCTGTGGCCCAGTCCCATTCCTCATCTGATATGTGAGTTCACTATAACTTTGCAGGTAAACCCAATGATTGTCTGAACATCACTGCTGGCTCCTATAATTGCTCATGTTTGTCAGAAAGCTCAACTCTTAGAAAGTGTTTTCTTGTACTTTACCAAAATCTATTTTCTGGTGTTTTTCTCGCATTAGTCCCTCCACATGTTAATATGGGCCCTGGAAGCAGAGGCTCGTTCTCCCGAGAAGCTGCCCTCTACGCTATGGGCCCTGCGTAAGTGTCAATAAGGTGGCTCACTTGCCTTATTTCCAGCAATAACCCTGATTTTCTTTGGAGAATCTGCCCTCCTCCACTCTCATGTCATGAGGTTTAATGACATCTCTCTCCCTCCTTTCTCCAAGCTCGATGGGTAGGCATAATTTCTAAAGCTATGCAGTGGGACTCACTGTCCTGAACTTTCAATCTTGATTAGGTGGTAGAAGGACAGCCCCCCTGCCCTGAGACAACACTCGGAGGCCTGTATTCCAGCGAGAGTGCCCTGACAAGACAGCTCTGGCCACCCTTGCCTGGCTCCTCCACCTTCCCGTCAGTTTCGTGAGTTCTCCAGCCTTTTCCCAGGTAAGTCCAGTTTCCCTTCAATGTATGAGAGTTATAGTCTATTGCCTATAGCAATATCATTCTCAATATAAAACAAAGTGCAGGTTTCAATAGTAACCAGGCTCTGAGGCTGGTCTGCCTTGACTCACGTTAGCCTCGCTGACACAGCTCTCTGGGTTTCCTGGTGGGCACCTCATTCTTCCACCATCCATTAAGGGACAGCCTAGCCTTGGGCCTGACACAGAAGGGGAGTAAGAAGCCCTTTGCTGAAACACAGATGGACCACATCCAAGAGTCTAATATGGCAAAGACAGAAGTGATGTCAATTGGATGTAGCATGTGTGTGTTGTAAATGAACCCATGCAGCATCACCGTGATCACCACTTTGTTTTCTAGGTGCTCAGAAGTTATTTAGGATCTGAGACTCTTGCTTGGGGGTGATGAGTAGCTCCTGTATTTGCAGAATGAATTCTCGGTGGGACCTTTGGTGAGTCTAACTTGGGCCTCAGCTTCCTCAACTGTAGAATAGATGGAATAATTTTATCCATCCCACTGATCATACCTGCAAGCCTCTGGGTGGGGCCTTACTTGTGGTCACATTGATCCTCTCAGTTGGCCCAACCGTACTTGTTTGTTGGGAAGAACAAACAAGAATTTGTGTAAAAATACTTAATAAAATGCAATGCATTATGTCTAGGATGTAGTTTGTTATAAGAGCACCAATCCTCATCTTCTAAAATCTTCTGTTCTCTTGGTTGCTTCCAAGATCATTGCCAGTTTACCAGTGCCATTTGCAAGGGTTATCAACATCTGGAAAGCAATTCTTCGAAGTAATCAACTTTAATTCATTAGCGTGGCTAGAGAACAGGTGCACTTTTTATCATCTCTGCACTTGGAGCTTTAATTCCCTCTTACCAACATTTGTATTACCCGTTTCATGGTAAAAGACTTTATTTGACAGAAGCGACAAGTAAATTAGGGGTGGAGGGCTTCTGCCTTCTTTCTGATAATCATTACTGATCCTAAATAGTGGCCTGTGCCATGTTTTTTTATACTTGCCCTAAACTTAACTTTAAAAAGCAGGAGCCATTTGTGATGCCCTGGGCTCTTTTTGCAAGTCTCAACTCATTGCTGGCTTCAGCCTTCTGACACTCTTTAACCAAAAGTCCGCTTATTTATTCATTCACATTCCATTCTGCCAATAACAGAAGCCCGTGAGAATAGAGGCAATATTTAGGAAAGTGTTTTGTGTATAGTATCAACTCAAGACCTCCTTGCCTCCCTCAAGGAACGAAGCCCTCACTGTTGGTACTGACCGGGGAGTGATTCAAAGGGTTTGCCAGGCTGAAGCCCCTGTTATAGACTCACATCATCCGTCATCACGACCGTCTCTTTCCTAGTGCTGCCTGTCGCCCTGCTCAGGGCTTCATGTGACCTTCTCTGTAGGTCCTCACTTTGTTTCTTCTTCCCATCCTTTATATTTGTCCTTCCCCCTTTTTAGTGGTGCCCATCAGAGTTCCTTCTGCAGCTGCCTAGATTTCCTTACATTCCATCTCTCTTTCTTTCCTTTTGGTGACATTTTTAGTGACAGAGCCAGATTTGAGGTTTTGAGGAGTTTCTAGTCATGAACCATCTTCCTTTATGCTATGGAATCACCCCTAGTATGGCTAAAATTAGAAACTAAACACATACACACACACACACACACACACACACACTCTTCTGGTTATCAAACTAAGCTACACATATTAGCGTATTGTAGACCATTTGAAAAATATACAGAAGTAGAAAATGCAAAAATAAAATCATATAATATTACCACTCCCAAACAGCTACTCATTGGCATTTTGTTATAATTTCTGTGGATGTTATTCTACATGTATTTTGAATTCTACATGTATATAGTAATTATACTATGCCTCCAACATTTTGTGTTTGATGTGTTACATAGCCATCCTCCCATATAAATATATATATATAAAACAGGGTCTCACTTTGTCACCAGGATAGAGTGCAGTGGGGCAAACACATCTCACTGCAGCCTCACTGCAGCCTCACTGCAGCCTCACTGCAGGCTCAAGCAATCTTCCTGCTTCAGCCCTCCAAGTAGCTGGGACTATAGGTGTGCGCCACCACGCCCAGCTAATTTTTGTATTTTTTGTAGCAACAGGGTCTCACCATATTGCCTAGGCTGGTGTTGAACTCTTGGGCTCAAGCCATCCTCCTTCCTCGGCCTCCCAAAATGCTGAGATTACAGGTGTGAGACACTGCACCAGGCTTTCATGTTAATATATATTTTTATAAGTGCTATATTTAATGGCTGTATCAAACACACAGTGTTCCTCTTATTGAACATTACAGTTGTTCCCAGGCTTTTTTTTTCTTGAGACAGAGTCTCACTCTGTCTTCCAGGCTGGAGCGCAATGGCGCCATCTCGGCTCACTGCAACCTCTGCCTCCTGGGTTCAAGCGATTCTCCTGCCTCAGCCTCCTGAGTAGTTTGGATTACAGTTGCCCGCCACTGCCCCCGGCCCGTTTTTCTTTTATAAATAACTCTGTTCGAGGTTAGCGGGAGCACAATGCACAAGACCACCCTCACTTGTGACACCAATTGCAAGTCCGGGGGCGTTCCAAAAACCATTCTGGGGTTTGATAATTCACTAGAAAGACTCGCAGAACTCACTGATAGCTGTTAGATTCACGGTTATGGGTTATTACAGCTAAAGGGCACAAATTAAAACCAGCCAAGGAAAGAGATGCAATTGGCAGAGTCCAGGAAGGTTGCAGGCATGGAGTTTCCAGTTTTCCTTTACCCATGGAGTCCTGGGAAGTGTCCTTTTCCCAGCACTGATATGTAACAATGCACATGGAATATTGGCAACCAGGGAAGCTCACTCGAGCCTTGGCATCCTGAGTTTTTGTTGGGGCTCCATAGTTGACTGCCCGTGCAGCTGCTCTTTAGTCTCCAGCCCCTCCAGAGGTAAAATGGATACTGCATGGCCCAATGTCCCCATCATAAATCACTGTTAAACTGTCCAGTGGCCAAGGCCCCAGGCAAACAAAGGCACTCTTACCAGGCAGGACATCCCAAGGTCCAAAAGCTCACCTTCCTGCAGCAGAGTACAAAGGCCAGACTGCTTTTTGGGTAAGGCGGATTCTTTACTACACACCCTATGACAAATATCTTTGTGCAGAAGCATTTTCCATTTTGAGGGTCAATTCTTAGGGTAAATTATTGGGAGTGGAATTATTGGAGCGAAGGATATAAATATTTTAAAGATTGTTGATACATATTGCCAAAATGCTTCCCAAGACGAGACCAATTTGTTTTCCATTCCTCTCCACCCCCACGCAGCAGGTATCAGAGCATCTGTTTTATCACAGCCTCACATGCAATGGGCATTGTCATTTTTAAAAAATTCTGGCAATTTGATAGATACAAAGTGGTGGTTTCAAATGATTGTCATTTGCCTTTCTGATTACAAATGAGGGAAAATACTTGCCCATCTTTAAAGGTTTTTCTTGTGGAGAATCTTGAACACCCATAAAAGTTGATAGAACGGTTTGATGAATTCCCACACGCCCATCATCCCAGCCCCACAACCGTCAATCAACTCCTGGGAATTCTACCTCATCCGCAGCCCCACCTTCTTCTCCCACTGTCATAGTGTTTTTGAAGAAAATCTCCTGGACACATAATTTTATCTTTAATATTTCAGTATGAATTTCTAAAAGATAAGGACTCTTCATTAAAGATTCACAAACGCAATGATCATACTTTAAAAATTAACGATAAGTCCTTAATGTCATCATATACCCAGTTAGTATTGAAATTTCCAATTGTTTCATAAATAATAGGGTTTTTTTACATTAAAAACAATTAGGGTCCAGGCCAGGTGTTGTGGCTCATCCCTGTAATCCCACCACTTTGGGAGCCCAAGGCAGGAGGATCACTTGAGGACAGGAGTTTGGGACTAGTCTAGGCAACATAGCAAGACCTTCTCTCTACAAAAATAAGAAAAAGGAAAAATTAGCCATGTGCAGTGGACACACCTGCAGTCCTAGATACCTAGGAGGCTGAGGCAGGAGGATCACTTGAGCCCAGGAGTTTGAGCCTGCAATGAGCTCTGATTGTGCCACTGCACTCCAACCTGGGCAACAGAGCAAGAACCTGTCTCTAAAAAATAAAAAATAAATTAGGATCCAAATGAGGACCAGATATTGAGATTCATGGAGATTCATAGATATGTCTTTTAATGTAATATATGTCCTTTAATTCTTTAATCTATGGATTCCCTCTCTCTCTGTCTCTTTCTCTCCAGCTGCTTTCCTCTAAGACATGGCTTATTGTTCACTGTTGTATCTCTGTTGCCTAAAACAGCAGGTGTGGCAGACAGACTTTAAGGTGTCCCATGATTCCTACCTCTTGGGGTCTACAGCTTTGTGTAATCCCATCCCCTTGGCTGTGGCTTGCCTCTAGCCAATAGGATGTGGCAAAGGTGATGAGATGTTATGCCCATGGTTATGTTATAGAAGAGTCTGTCTTGTTATCACTCTCTCTCTGTCCCTCTCCCTGTTACTGGCTTTGAAGGAACAAGCTTCCATGAAATAAATGGCCATATTGGAGAAGCCCAAGTGGCAAGGAACTGTCAGCAGTCTCTAAGAGCTGAGGGTAGACTCCAGCAAGAAACTGAAACCCTCAGTCTGACAGCCACAAGGAAATAAATTCTGCCAACAACCTGAAGAAGCTTGGAGCAGATCTTTCCTCAGTTGAGCCTCTGATGAGACTGCAGCCCGAGCTGTCACCTGGATAGCAGCTGGTGAAACCCTTCAACAGAGAAACCAGCCAACCTGTGTGTAAACTTCTGACCTGCAGAAACTGTAGATAAAGAGTGTGTGTTATTTAGAACTGCTAAGTTTGTGGTAGTTAAGCAGCATAGAAAATGAATACAGTAGGCCAGGAGTGGTGGCTCACGCCTGTAATCCCAGCACTTTGGGAGGCCGAGGCCAGCAGATCACCTGAGGTCAGGAGTTTGAGACCAGCCTGGCCAACATGGAGAAACCCTGTCTCTACTAAAAATACAAAATTAGCAGGGTGTGGTGGTGCATGCCTGTAATCCCAGCTACTTGGGAGGCTGAGGCAGGAGAATTGCTTGAACCCAGGAGGCGGAGGTTGCGGTGAGCTGAGATCACGCCGTTGCACTCCAGACTGGGCAACAAGAGCGAAACTCTGTCTCAAAAAAAAAAAAAAAAGAAAAAAAGAAAATGAATACAGTAGACATTCACCAAACTATATTGAATTGAATGACTGATATGGTTTGGCTGTGTCCCCACCCAAATCTCACCTTGAATTGTAATACTTTCCACATGTTAAGGGTGGGGCAAGGTGGAGATAATTGAATCATGGGACAGTTTTCCCCATACTGTTCTTGTGGTAGGCTTAACTCGAATAAGTCTCATGAGATCTTATGGTTTTATAAATGGGAGTTCACCTGGACAAGCTCTCTTGCCTGCTGCCATGCAAGACACGCCTTTGCTTCTCCTTTGCCTTCTGCCATGATTGTGAGGCTTCCCCAGCCATGTGGAACTATGAATCCATTAAAACTCTTTTTCTTTACACATTACCCAGTCTTGGGTATGTTTTTATTAGCAGTGTAAAAATGGACTAATACAATGACTAAATATGAAGGCTAGTTAAGACCTGATCAGACACTGTGCTTTTAGCTGAATGAGTCCTCCAGCCATTGACCAGATGGTTGAACTTCACTATCCATTGTTTCTGAGGTGGTTTTGTGACCCACATCAGCACTAATTGAGTTGGTCAGGCCCTTCCTCCAGCCAGGCTGATTGTGGCATTCTCTGACAGTTGCTTTACCCCCTCTCACCTTCCCCCATGATCTCCTTGCAGCCTGCCCACACTGGCCTTAGGGTGACTTTCTGGAGAGGCAAGCATCTTCATGTGAGACCTGCCAAAGGGTGTATACCTTCTCAAAAGACCCTGCAGTTTCTTCTCCAATGTGGACAACGCTGAGCATATGATCTTTCGGTGTCTATCTGCACTTTCTTTGACCTGTGAGTATTTCTGTTTATGGTGTAATTTACTTTCTCCTCTCCACATAGCTTCTCCAGTCTGATTTCTCAATGGTTGTAAATTGCTCCCAACAAAAAGCTTTAGAACATAAGCATTCAGTCTTGAGCTGAGCCTGTGTGGTCACTGTGCAGATCTGTCCACCCTGGGACACTCCCTGGTGCCCTCCCACCGTGCAGGGACAGTTCTCCCTTTTTGTCTCCATGGCCCATGGCTTCACAAACCCTCTGTTCTCTCTCTAATGTTCTCTCTGTCACCTCCCCTTTCCTAGCCTGGGTGTTTGAAAACAATCATTGTCAGAATATGACATTTAATCTGTTTTCAGTTTTTATTGTAAAAAGAGGAAGCGAAGACTAGCGGTAAGATGCAGATGACTAATGAAAGAATTCCTCACAGCTGTTCAGGGATATATATTTTTTTCTGTAGTGGAGCGAGACAGATTCCCATCACAGCTCGGGGACTCGTTCCGTGAAGCCCCTCATCTGTCATGCTCTGGGGGTGAAGGGGGCAGTGGAGAAATGTCATTATGGATGTAACTGGACTCAGAAGTGACTGGTCAAGGTTGGCACTGCAGTCCTGATGGAGCGGCTTATGGAAGTTTTTCTGGGAGGCACTGCTGGCTGGTGGAAAGGGCAGCTCCAAACACCCCTGCTTGTGGTTGATTCCCAGGTTCCGTCCAATCAGACCACCTTAGAGCTGGAATAAGTCCCTCCAACATAGCTATCCAAGGAAAATACCCTTCTACCCATTCCAAACCAGATAGGATATCAAAACAAGTATTTTCTCAGGTTTTGCACCAGACCTGAACAGGTGCTCTAATCATCTGTGCTGATGCCACTGGCCCATCTCTCTGGGAACTCTGAGCAGAGTGGAACCAGGGTGGTCTGGATCTGTGCCTGGTGCATTACACCAACAGGGAGGAATGCTTGGATCCGTGGTGCCTGCATCAGGCTGGCCAATCCTGTGTGGATACTGATTAGTCTCAAAGCGAGAATGCTAAGGAAGACAGAGATCAGCCCATCTTATAAGACACAGATTCTACTGGGCGCTGTGGCTCACGTCTGTAATCCTAGCACTTTGGGAGGCCAAGGTGGGTGGATCACCTGAGGTCAGGAGTTTGAGGCCAGCCTGGCCAATGTGGTGAAATCCTGTCTTTACTAAAAATACAAAAATTAGCCGGGTGTGGTAGTGGGCACCTGTAATCCCAGTTACTCAGGAGGCTGAAGCAGGGGAATCTCTTGAACCCGAGAGGTGGAGATTGCAGTGAGCTGAGATTGCACCGCTGCACTCCAGCCTGGGCAACAGATCGAAACTCCGTCTCGGAAAAAACAAACAAAAAAAACAAAAACAAAAACAGCAACAACAAAAAAAAACAAGAAAACACAGATTCCTTCTCCCTACTGCCTTTTCCTAACCCCAGGAAACAACTTGAGCAAAGAGCTTTTCAGTCACTAATAGTTGTCCTTCCCCTTTCTGCTCCTGCCTTCAGGCTTGTTCACTCACCCTCCACCAGAGGCAAAGAAGCTGCCCCGCAGGCACTGCCTACAGCATCAGTGAGCCCCCTTGGGCTTCTCCACCCGACTGGACCCATGGCTGTCATGCCTTGACTGCCCTTCCTCCCAGGTTTCCAGTTTGCTTGGGGAAAGAGCCTTTCTCCGTATTTCCTTATTGCCAGCCTCATTCCTAAAAGGATTTGAAATGTCTGACAAAAGCACAAATGTGCAGCAAAGGAGGACACCCAGGCAGGGGAAATAAAGGCAGGAAATGTGAGGCAAAGCCACGTGAGGCTCTCATACAAAAGGCTGATTGATATTCACTTGCTAATTTGATTCTGCGTTTTCTTGAAAGAAGGAAACATAATCAACAATTCCCTTCACAGTGTCCATGAGATAAAAGCAAACGAGTTGTTTGGGAGAAAGTTCTGAAGTGCCAGATGCATCTCTGGTGGGATGCTTATTCTTTTAAGGATGTGAGCAACACCCTCAATCATGATGAGTTTTATGAGCCATACAATTATTAAAAATTTTTAACTTTCTTATTAAGATTCCTGTGAAGATCACTGGCATTTGAATTCTGATTGTCTTTAGAAAGACTTTGTGTCTTATGAAATCATGTTTGAAAACACGCTGTATTTTGTCCTTTTTCTTCCTCCTCCCTCTCCTATTTCTCTGCTCTGTCTCTCCCCTTTCCCATTCTCTTCCTCACCCTTCTTTCTTTTGTTTGAGACAGGGACTCGCTGTGTCACCCAGGCTGGAATGCAGTGGTGTTCACTGCAACCTCTACCTCCCAGGTTCAAGTGATCCTCCCTTCTCAGCCTCCCAAGTAGCTGGGACTGTAGGTGCATGCCTGGCTAATTTTTGTATTTTTTGTAAAGTTGGGGTTTCACCATGTTGCCCAGGCTGGTCTCGAACTCATGGGCTCAACGGATCTGCCTGCGTTGGCCTCCCAAAGGGCTGGGATTACAGGCATGAGCCATTGTGCCCAATCCTTACCCTTCTTGAAAGGACACTACACATTTTCCACTTTCAGGGGTCAGGGAGTTTGGGCTCTGGTACTTACTCTATGAACAGTTGTCTATGCCATTCATTGTGCTATGTGTGTCCTGTGTCTGGATCTGTCTGTGCGATTTCTGTGCTGGTGTGTTTATGCATGAACAAGAATAAGTGAAAGTATCCAGCCGAGCTACTTTACTGAGTTATGATTAAATTACATGCAATAAGCTGCGGGTAGGACTTTTTTTTAAAGCAGTGTTTCTCAAACTCAAGCATGTTTTAGAATCTCCTTAAAAGTTTGTTAAAACACAGATTGCTGGGCCTCACCCTAGAGCTGCTGATTTCATAGGTCCAGGTGGGACTGAGAATTTGCATTTCTAACAGGGTTCTAGGTGGTGTGCTGCTGTTGGTCTCAGTGTCGCTGTTGCTGTCAGTCTTGGTATCATGGAGAACCACTGTTCTAAAGAAACTTCCTTTCCTTTCCCTTAAACCATCCTAGGTTGGACAACCAGTTGTGGTCCATTTGGGAGCTCCCATCTCATTAAAAAATGAGAACATCCTGAGCCAGACAAAGATGCTCTTTGTACTTTTAGTTTCATTCTGAACCCAAGCCAGAAATCTACCTAAGCAACTCACGTGGGAGTCATGAGGAAGCAAATATTTAGACTTTACGAGCATGCGCATTCTATACTGACCAGTGTTGAATTTTTCCACGATTTTCATTTGGGCAAAGTACTATGTGTTACAATCAACCAGGTGGTACTTCTCAGATGCCTGATAATGTTCTGAAAATTAGAGAGATAAACATTATCCTGTGTGACAAATACAGGTATGTCAGTACAGGCTGGCTGAAGATCTGATTTGCTGGGTGAAAGCTCCTTTCCCAACTCTTTCACCTGAAACTAAAAGTTCTTGCTAGTGAGCATCCATTTTGGCCAGAGTGTGGCTACATCACCAACCCAAAAGGGTTTAGGGAGGACAGGGAACAAGATTTCATAGCTGCATAATACCAGGCATTCCCAGAAGTGCTTTGCCACCTTTGCTGGTATGTCTTCTGTGGCTTTACATGTGCCAGGTAAGCTGACAGCAGAACATCAGTATCCACTTGTTGTGGTTTTAAAATATGTTCACATATACAGTTGAAAGCATTCCTTCTGAGAACTGGAACAAGACAAGGATGCCCGCTTTCACCACTTCTATTCAACATAGTGCTGGAAGTCCTAGCCAGAGCAATCAGACAAGAGAAAGAAATAAAGGGCATCCAAATTGGAAAACAGGAAGTCAAATTGTTGCTGTCAGCCAATGATGTGATCATATACCTAGAAAACCCTAAAGACTCATCCAAAAAGCTCTTAGATCTGATAAATGAATTCAGTGAAGTCTCAGGATACAAAATCAATGTACACAAATCAGTAGCACTGCTATACACCAACAATGACCAAGCTGAGAATCAAATTAAGAACTCAATCTCTTTTATGACAGCTGCAAAAAATTAAAATACTTAGGAATATATATATATTTTTTTAATTTTTAATATATATTGTGCCACTGCACTCCAGCCTGAGTGAGAGAACGAGACTCTGTTGAGACACTGCTGGAGTGCAGTGGCACAATCTCGGCTCACTGCAACCTCCACCTCCTGGATTCAAGTGATTTTCATGCCTCAGCCTCCTGAGTAGCTGAACTACAGGCATGCGCCACCACACCTGGCTAATTTTTGTATTTTTAGTAGAGACCAGGTTTCACCATGTTGCCCAGGCTGGTCTCAAACTCCTGACCTCAAGTGATCTGCCTGCCTCAGCCTCCCAAAGTGTTGGGATTATAGGCGTGAGCCACCGTGCCCAGCCCCTGACTTAGGAATATACTTAACCAAGGAAGTGAAAGATCTCTACAAGGAAAACTATGACACACTGAAATCATAGATGATATAAACAAATGGAAACACTTCCCATGCTCATGGATGAGAAGAATCAATATTGTGAAAATGACTACACTGCCCAAAGCAATCTATGGATTCGATACAGTTCTCATCAAAATAATATCATTCTTCACAGAACTAGATAAAACAATTCTAAAATTCATATGGAACAAAAATGATCCTGCATAGCCAAAGTAATACTAAGCAAAAAGAACAAATCTGGAGGCAACATACTACCTGATCTCAAATTACACTACAAGGCTATAGTTACCAAAACAGCATGATACTGGTATAAAAATAGGCATATAGACCAATGGAACAGAATAGAGAGCCGAGAAATAAAGCCAAATACTTATATCCAACGGATCTTTGACAAAGCATACAAAAACATAAATTGGGGAAAGGACACCCTATTCAATAAATGGTGCTGGGAAAACTGGAAAGCCACATGTAGAAGAATGAAACTGGATCCCCATCTCTCACCTTATAGAAAAATCAACTCAGCATGGATCAAAGACTTAAATCTAAGATCTGAGACAATAAAAATTCTAGATAATAACATCAGAAAAACTCTTTTGGACATTGGTTTAGGCAAAAAATTCATGGCTAACCCCCCAAAAGCAAGTGCAACAAAAATAAAAATAAATAAATGGACCTAACTAAACTAAAAAGCTTATGCACAGCAAAAGAAATAATTAGCAGTGTAAATGAACAACCCACAGAGTGGGAGAAAATATTCACAAACTATGGATCCAACAAAGGACTAGTATCTGGAATCTACAAGGAACTCAAATCACCAAAAAACCCCCCAAATCATCCCATCAAAAAGTGGGCAAAGGACATGAATACATTTCTCAAAAGAAGATATATAAACAGCCAACAACTGTATGAAAAAATGCTCAACATCACTCTTCATTAGGCAGATGCGAATTAAAACCACAATGAGATACCACCTTACTCCTACAAGAATGGCCATAATTAAAAAGTCAAAAAACAATAGATGTTGGCATGGATGTGGCAAAAAGGGAATACTTTTACACTGCTGTTGGGAATGTAAATTGGTACAACCACTATAGAAAACAGTGTGGAGCCTCCTTAAAGAACTAAAAGTATATCTAGCATTCAATTCAGCAATGCCACTACTGAGTATATACCCAAAGGAAAAGGAGTCATTATATGAAAAAGACACATGCACACGCATGTTTATAGCAGCAAAATTTGCAATTGCAAAGGTAAGGAGCTAGCCTAAGTGCCCACCAGTCAAGGAGTGGATAAAGAAAATGCGGTATATATACACCATGGACTACTACTCAGACATAAAAAGGAATGAAATAATGTCTTTTGCAGCAACTTGGATGGAGCGGGAGGCCATTATTCTAAGTGAATTAACTCAGGAATGGAAAACCAAATATTGTATGTTCTCACTTATAAGCAGGAGCTAAACTATGAGAATGCAAAGGTATAAGAATGATATAATGGACTTTGGGGACTTGAGGGGGAAGGTTGGAACAGGGTGAGGGATAAAAGACTACATATTGGGTATAGTGTACACTGCTTTGGTGACAGGTGCACTAAAATATCAGAAAGCACCACTAACCACTAACCATGATCATCTAGACCATGTAACCAAAGCCTGTATAAATGAAAACCATGAGATATCACCTCACACCTGTTAGGATGGCTATTATCAAAATGATAATTATCAATATGAACCCCTGCACACTGCTGGTGGGAATGTAAGTTAGTACAGCCATTATGGAAAACAGTATGAAAGTTTCTCAAACAATTAAAAATAAAATTACCATATGATCCAGCAGTCTCACTACTGGGAATATATTCACAGGAAATGCAGTCAGTATGTTGAAGAGATATCTGCACTCTCATGTTTACTGCAGCACTATTCATAATAGCCAAGATATGGACTTAACCTAAGTGTCTATCAAAGGATTAATGGATAAAGAAAATGTGGTATATATACACAATGAAATACCATTCAGCCATACAAAAGAAAGAAATCTTGTCACTTGCAACAACATGGATGAAGTTGGAGGATATTATATTAAGTGAAATAAGCCAGGCACAGAAAGACAAATACTACACAAACTTATTCATCTGTAGAATCTAGGGGGATTGCTTTCATGAAAATACAGAGTAGAATGGTGGTTACCAGGGGCTGGGGTGGTTGTGGGCTGGTGCAAGTTGGGGAAGAAAAAAAATATGTTCACAAATTCTTTGATATTCCTCCTTTTGAAAGGTGGTACTTAATTTCCTATCCCTTGTGTGTAGGTTCTACTGAGTCTCTCTTATAATGAACAGAATATGGCAGAAGTCATATTTTACCCAAAACTTGATAACTTCTGAAGGGAAGTCATAGAAGACATTGTAGTTTCCTCTTTTTCCACTTCCTGGTATCACTCACTCTGGAGGAAACATCTGCCATGTTGTGAGGAAGATCAAGCAGCCAAGGCCAAGTGCAGTGGCTCATGCCTGTAATCCTAGCACTTTGGGAGGCCAAGGCAGGTAGATCACCTGAGGTCAGGAGTTCAAGACCAGCCTGCCCAACATGGTGAAACCCCATCTCTACTAAAAATACAAAAACTAGCTGGGTGTGGTGGCAGGTGTCTGTAATCCCAGCTACTTGGGAGGCTGAGGCAGGAGAATTGCTTGAACCCAGGAGGCAGAGGTTGCAGTGAGCTGAGACTGTGCCACTGCACTCCAGCCTGGACAACAAGAGTGAAACTGCATCTCAAAAAAGAAAAAAAAAAAAAAAAGATCAAGCAGCTTTATGGTGAGACCCATGTGACAAAGATCTAAAGCCTCCTTTCAGCAGCCCTTGAGTGAGCCACCTCGGAATTGGATCCCTCAGTCCCAGTCACATCTGCAAACCTGGAAAACACCTTCACTACAACCTCATGAAAGACCATGAGACAGAACGGCCCAGGTAAGTGACTCCCAAATTCTTGACCCACAGAAATTTTGAGATAATTAAAATTTGTTAATTTAAGCCACTAAGGTGGGATAATTTGTTACACGGTAATTGATAACTAATACATTACAATAAAACAAACCTTTATACCACCACTGCTAAGTCTCTGTACAGGTGACATTCCTTCTAAGAAACTTTCAGTGATTTTAGTACCTCAAATTAAGTGCTCACTCCACAGTTAAGCGCCCAAGATGCTCCTACATATAGCCCTAAACAGACCCAACTGGACTAATATTTGCTGTGCCCTGAACACCTGTCAGACTTTCACACCTTGGCCAGCCAGCCTGAAATTATACCCCAGGTCCCGTCTCCACTTTATAAAATCCTTGCATCCTCCAGGTCCTATCCCAAAATCCACCTTCCCCATGACATCATTTTTGAGTTTCTCAGCCAGATGCTCCTCTCTTCATCCAAACCCACATTATACTTTGTGTGCCTGCTTATTGCTCACCCAATAGCCTTTCCCCCTTTGCTTCTTGATGGCAGATCCCTGGTTTAGTTTGGGTGGTCATCCCTATTTTGAGTCAGGTCAAATCCTGTTTAGTTGAAGTCATTCATAGTGGCCCCAATTCCCTTGGCAATGACTGGTGCAGGAGTGGTCATGTGATATATTTCTGGCCAATGAATTATGAGGAGATGTTTGCTAGACAAGAGCATAGCATCCTGGGAAAGGCTTTTAGAAAGATATTATGGAAGAAAGAGTACTGCTGAATATTATCTGCATAGATATGATTTTTAGAATCATGGCAGCCACCTTATAAATCAAAGGGAGGTAGCCCAAGGATGGGTGGACGGATGAGCAGAAGATAGAAAGAACCAGAGTTCTTGGCCAGGTGCTGTGGCTCACACCTGTAATCTGAGCACTTTGGGAGACAGAGGCGGGCAGATCATGAGGTCAGGAGTTTGAGACCAGCCTGGCCAACATGGTGAAACCCCGTCTCTACTAAAAAATACAAAAATTAGCTGGGCGTGGTGGCACATGCCTATAATCCCAGCTACTCAGGAGGCTGAGGCAGGAGAATCACTTGAACCTGGGAGGAGGAGGTTGCAGTGAGCTGAGATTGTGCCACTGTACTCCAGCCTGGGCAACAGAGCGAGACTCTATCTCAAAAAAAAAAAAAAAAGGAAAAAGAAAGAACCAGTGTTGCTAGATTTTGTTGGACCGTGAGTTAGTCAATCCTGTTATTGCCCTGGACTTCATAGTATGTGAAGCCCTTTCTTAGCTGTTCTAGATTAAGCCAGTTAAGTTGATTTTGCTGTTACTTGAAGCTGAAAAGTGTTCTAATTAGCTAAAAACCCTGGTGATAGTTTTTAAATTTATTAAAGTTATCCTTGTGCTCATTTTTCTTTGTATCCAGTTATAATCTGAAGGGTAGTGATTGTATTTTGATTGAAGTAAGTTGCACATACTGAAAAATACGTAACCTTAGAGTTTGGTTTGGTGAATGTTCACAAAGCAGCACAAATATATAAATAGCACCCAGATCAAGAAATAGAACATTACCAGCACACAAAAGCCATTCTTCTACCTGCCCCGCTTTTAGACACTATCCCCTTCCAAGGATAACCACTTTCTGTACTTGTAAAGACATAGATCAGGTTTGCCTGTTTTTAAACTTCACGCTAATGGAAGCACACGGCATGTACTCTTTTGGTCTGGCTTCTTTTGCTCATTATCATGTCTGTGAGATTCACCCAATCTGTTGTATGTGTCAGTAATTTGCTCATTCTCATTGAGATACATTATTCCATTGTATAAATATACCACAATTAGATGTTCTGTCTACCATTAATGAACTGTTTGTTTCCAGTTTGGGGCTATTACAAATAGTGTTGCTAGGAATGCTCCTGTGCATTCTTTTGGTGAGTTTATGTACGCAGAGCAAGGGGCTGGATTGATGGGTCATAGGCTAGGCATTTGTTCAGTTTTGGTATGCATATTGCCAAATGGTTTTTCAGGTGTTGCCTTTTTATTCATCTTTGGATTTCTACACACACACTCACATTTCTTACCCTCTTGTCTCTTTTTACCCTAAGAAAATACTTTGCACATAGTGAGTACCTGACAAAGGATGTAACAAAGAGTGTACATATATACACACGTATACATGTTTGTAAATGCATGCGTGTATGTATACACATATATAAATAAATCCCCGTGTTGTGTATAATAGCTCAAATATAACAACAACCCTAGCAAGTCAACAATCAAACAGGCTATGCTGGGGCTGAAAGGTGTGAAGTTGGTGGGGGAATGGCTGGGGACTTCCATTCCCATCTGAGATTTGGCTCATCTACAGGTGAATTTCAGTTGCCTTTGGTCTGAATTCTGGAAGTTGCTCCAACTTACGTCTTGTGGTAGTTGACAAAATAGAAGCAAGCCTTTGTAAGAAAAGGGTGTTACTGAAGAAAGAGGTCATCCTTCTTCATGGAGAATGGGGGAGAGATGAGCCTGTTAGAGTGCTTGGTGCAGAGAACAAGACTTTTGGAGAGAGGATCGTCCAGTACAACTGCCAGGCTAAGGGTCTTAGATGCAATATTGATTTTCTTAGATCATTTAGTTTTCAACAAACTCCCTTTTCCTGCACACTTTTTCCTCATTCAACCTTTAGAAAGGACTTGGGCTGCGCATGATACGGGCACAGCTCTTCTGTGAACTGTCTCACAAGACTGGAACAACTTTCAGAATTTCTATAAAAGAAAACATTACAGTATTGGGGAATTTTTTTTAATCACAGGAGGACTCTAAAATGTGTACTGCCATTTTCTTTAATCTTGATTGACTTCATGGGAAAATTTGATGCCACTAAGAAATATATAATTTCCCACAGATGTTATATCTCTGCTATTAAATGTTGATGTCCCAGAACCCCGTGTGCTCGTGGAAGGGTCTAGAATCCATGACTTTGGCTGATCACCTACCTGTTTGCAGTTTCTAATGGAAAAAAAGAGCTCAGTGATTGCAGCCCCGGGTCTCTGTATAAGGAAATTTTGTGTGTGTGTGTGTGTGTGTGTGTGTGTGTGTGTGTGTGTGTGTGTGTGTGTTAAGGGTGATGGTGGTGAGGGGGTCATGAATATATCTTTTACCATGAGAGGTATGAATGATTACCATTTGAATAGCAAAAATACAGGTCTTTAAGTCAAGTAATTGGAGAAAGGCTTGGAAACTCTACCAAGTAGATCTGCAAATAGGCATCAGAAGACATTACAGGATTCATAACAAACTAAGCTGATATTTTTGAAGCGAAGCCAACAGTAATTCACAATTCAAAGGGAAAAATGACAACGCTTGAAAACCTGACTGACTCTAAGAGAACACTGGTGACTGAAGATGCACTTGGTAGGACTGTCCTTTTGGAAAGCTGGGGGAATCCTGCCTCTGAGCAAGCATTTTCAGGAGTGGCTGTGCCGTTTGGCCAAGGACTGCACAGATGCCAGATGGCTTTGGAGACCCTAGAGTAGAAGTTCCTAGTGAACTCTGGGAATGTGCTAATGCAAGCTTATGAATATGAATTTCAGTAATCCTTAACCTTCTCAGGAGGTTACTAGCATGAACCTCTTTGTCATGTGGAAAAAAAAAAGTCCTTGTAGTTGTTCATCATTTGCCCTGAAGAACCAAGAAAGGACTCATGCTACTTCTTGGCCCAACAGGGAGTCAACACAGCTCAACAGTAGGACACTGAGAATCAGAGTCCCTCACTAATAGAATGTTGTAAGAGTCAAGCCCCTAATGCCTTTAGTGCAGATGTTTCAATCTTCCTGCAGGTCTTGGGATGGATGGGATGAGTTAATAGGGCATGCCCTGAAGGAGTAACCACAGAGTGAAGTACTAGTCTTGGCAATACAGAGCCCCAAGTATTAGCCGCTGAGTGGGTTTAGTTGAGAGGAGGGTGTGCAGTGATCAACTGATATGTGGTATATGACATATGTTATGGTGCGGGATGATGGCGGGTGTTGGAGGTAGCCTGGGTTGGGTAAGTCCAGGTCAGCCCATTGTCTGATTATTTCTAGTCTTTTCTTTTATCACAAAAAGATTTTCAGTCATCTCTTGTGACTGATTTTCACTTAATTTTCAGATAATTTCCTTTAAAAAGTAATCAGTAAGCCACGAATTGATTTATAGCTGAAGTCAGTTTCTATGTATGTTGTGTGGTTCCAAATATATATTTCAAAGCTCTGTGTGATATACAGAACCATAGAGAGATCAGAAAACATACAAAGAATAGATCTTGTCATTTGTGAATTTGGTGAATTAGACCATTTGAATCACCACTTGAAGGTTTGCTGTCCTGCAAGTCTTACGTATTTCTCAAAATAAAGGAGGTCTTCAGACACCCAGGTGTCCAATTACCTTCCATTTCCAGCCAGCTAATGTATTTTGTACTAATCTCCACTTTGCCTTTCGTAGTCCTCAGTAGCTAAGCCTTACTCTAACCAGATTCCCAGTTGATTATTTTTTAAACGAGTGTTTCTCTGCTTGTGAAGGTTGCGTATAAAGATACTTGCACATCCTGAGCTCCTGTAGGATATCAAAGGACAGAATGCTCACCATGAAAATATTAAATAGGATAGAGGCATGAGGAAGGCATAAGAACACACACCTTTGTAGTTGTGTTTTTCTGCTGGAAGCTGCAGATCAGTCTTCATTTTGTGGAATATTTTTACAAATGTGTTTATTGACTGAGTTTTAGAAAGGTAGGTGTACCTGTGGCTTGTTCTATGTTAGCTACCGGTAGCTTTAGGATTTCCTGCCTAATGTGTTAACTTGGTCGTGGACCTGTCATGCCGAGTGAGCGATAAAAGGCACCGGAACCTGAGGAGATGCCTAGTGCATGGGCAACTCTATGATTCACTTGTTGACATGTCTAGTTTGGTCTTGAAATAAAAATAAACAAATTTAGAACATCGGCTTTATTTCTGTGGTGTTCTACCAAACTCTGATTTTTAGCATTCCAACCTCTTATAATGGCATTCAAAGTTGCCAAATGCCTCACAATTATTCTTTCTACCCCATATAAATGGATCTTTTAAACAGAGCCACTTTCTAGGCTGGCAGGAGGACTTGGGAACTTTGCTATAATTACTTCTCTAAGGCCTTCTCTCCTCCCAAATGCCCTGGGGTGTTCCAAAGCTTGATGGAAGATATACTTGGTAAGATTGAAGAGTCTGCTGGGAAAGGCAGGTGAGAATGAGAATGTTTAGAGTTGGAGAAAGAAGGTGGAGAATTGAGTAGAGGATGCAGCGGCCACGGTGACTGGAGGCAAGTCCTCGGAAAACTGGAGAACGACTGTAGCTCAGAGAGTCAGGGCGAAGGAACTGACGCGCCTGGAAGCAGAGAGGACTCTGGGACTAAGGCCCATGGTAAAAGGCTTCCCCTTACTCTCCACGTGCTCATTTCGCCTGTCCAATGGTAAGGGTGCCTTTGGAATACAGGGAAAGAGAGGAGCCACAATTATGCAATCAAAGCCAGTGTCTCTTCCTGAAGGTCTTTTCCACCGGAAGGAAGGCGGCTCGCAAGAGTTGCTCTTGGAGCTTACTCTTGTAGAGCTGGTGACAGTTGGAAAAGGGGGAAGGAAGGGGAGGGGACATCACCATTTCCATTTTCACTCAAATGTCCTAATATCATATCTCTTCCTGTTATCTGAGTGACTCCTGTTTTGCTAAAGTGTGTTTGTTCACAGAAGGTCTTTACTTTTGTGCTTTAAAAAAAAATTTTTTTTGAGATGGAGTCTTGCTCTGTTGCCCAGACTGGAATGCAATGGCACGATCTCGGCTCACTGCAACCTCCGTCTCCTGAGTTCAAGCGATTCTCCTCCCTCAGCCTTCCGAGTAGTTGGGACTACAGGCGCCCACCACCACACGTGGCTAATTTTTGTATTTTTAGTAGAGACGGGGTTTCACCACGTTGACCAGACTGGTCTCAAACTCCTGATCTCAGGTAATCTGCCCCCTCGGCCTCCCAAAGTGCTGGGATTACAGGCGTGAGCCACCGTGCCCAGCCACCTTTGTGCTTCCTGCAGACGGAGCTTTCTACTTGTTTCTGACCACACTATTTACTGGTAAAGAATCCAAGAAAGATTATGAATTATTTAGTGTTATTGACTTCCTAAAAGGGTGAGCAGTTCATCTTCCAGAGTCCGGTAATTTTCTAAAGTGAGAGGGCAGAGTTTGTGCATGTAGAGATGTGCATATAGAATGAACTTTCAGATGTAGCGGCTGTAACACACACTGGGACCATTTATTACAAAATCAAACAGATTTTCATTTATATTTGTCACATATTCAATCAGGGCTGGAAAATGGCTGATGAGACTGGTCAGTTAGGCAAGCGCTAGTCCCAGTTCCAGACCCAGTGTTCTGATGGGCTTCTAAGGGATCTGAGACAATGAAACACACAGACAACCCAGCACTACACGTCACTTTAGCTAACAGGTTAAATTGTGTCTCTTCTTTTCCCTCCAGCCTGTTTACCCCAAGCAACGCCTCTCAGCCCTTTAACTGAAGGCATTAACAATAACATTAACATATTTTGGCCTCGTTTTCTCTCCCTATTTTGATCCATTCTTAAGTGGATATTCCAGGGGTAACGAAATAGCCAAAAGCAAAAAATCATGGGTGCTTTTCGGAGAGGAAGAGATCCTTGGAAATCTAGTAAGGGTGCCTTTCATATTGGAGTAGTCATCTGTACTTGGGCAATGTGGACTAATCCCTCACCTCCCTCCTTCTTTCTCCGCAAACCCAACTGCACCCCACAGACTGACTTACTGTGGGTCATCTTAAAGTAGAAATTATGAGTGGAGAGGGGAGAGCCCACTGGCCCATATAGCTAGTTTTGACCTTGTTTGCTTCTGGTATGTGTATGTGTGTGTGTGTGTGTGTGTGCACTTGCATGTGTATTTCTTTATTCTCTTTGCATGTACCTCTAATTGATCTTGAAAAGAAGGGACAGTTAAAGAAGACGTTAAGGTGAAATGAAGCCATAACTGCAGCTGGAGACTTTTATTAAGTGTGGCAAAGTTCCCTGGGCTGTGCTGAAATTGTTTATTGATTTTGGTATGGCTGGGTGCTCGGGAGTAATCGCCCAGAATGCCACTGGAGAGAGCGTCTTGTTAGCTTACACTCAGCATCGCCTCAACGCAGCCGTTCACTCTGGAGCTTGCCTCTTTAACCTGTAAATAAATACCCCTGGTTAACTCCTGAGGTGCCTCTGCCTGGGACCAGCGCTGCTTCTGACCTGAATATGCTCACCCCCAGCAGCATTTAAAGACTCACGGGGTTTAATTTCTTCCATTAGAAAGAGATGTCTCAAGGGGGAGCAAAAACAGGGTTAGGTTTGAGATGAAAGATGCATATCATTTTCCATCTTGAATGTGTATTTGGTTTGTTTCTCTTAGTTTCCTTTTAGTAGTAAGGTTGGAAGTTTGAAGAAACAAAGTAAATTGAGATTGTTTTCAATGATGTTTTCACTATCTCATCCCTTTGTCTTTCCTTGTGTGTTTTTAATCAGTGTCATGCCTTTGCCCATGCCTGGGTCTTCCTGGCTTTCCCACTGCTGTAACTAAGCTTTCTCTGGGGTTGCAACAGGGGCAGAGGTGGACCTGGGAACTGATCTTGTGTCTGCAGCCAGTGCTGCTCTCCAGCAAGCGATCCTGCACTGGGGCAGCTGCATGGGGAAGATGGGGTGTGCACACAGTCAAGCTCAATAGGAGGTGGGAAGAGAAGCCTGGCCCCAGGATTATCCAAGGGAGGAATTGAGTTGTAGGAAGAGAGTCAGGAAGTTTGGGTCAGCTGAAAAAAAGCTGGTTTAACCTGGGGCATCCTACTTCAAAGATAGGTAAGATTGGTATCTATTGGGGTCCCCAGGTTGACTCTGGAAGAGTCACATTCCTAAAGCTATTTCGCTTCAGAATTAGGGTTGCCAGTGATGGGGAGCCGACCATCATTTGCTTTGGTGGACTTTATTCCACATCACCCAGTGAAATGCCCTCGTGGTTGTCTATTCTTTACCTTTTGAGATCCTTCTGCAATTCCCAGGCATCATTCTTTTCAAGCTTCATGACCATGCTGCTGTCAGGCTGCTCACAATGTGGTACAATATCACTCCAAAAGTACAGATCTACAAGGCACCTGGGACCAGGGTCTTACATTGGAGTTCCAGGGAACTAGTAGCTGCTCGAAAATCACATTTCTATGAGGTGTCCCTCTAACTGTCCTTAAACAATCCCTCTAGAGATGCTGATGTCATGTCCTTTCCAAGTCCCTCTGTATTTGTCTCTTCACCCTGTCTTATGTAGTGACTATTTTCTCCTGAAATCAAGCATTAGCGTATTTCCTCTTTTCGTTCTGATCACAGTGAGTTTTTCCCGTGAGTGACACAAGAATCAGAGACATTTTGGAGAGCATTGCATTCCGAATATTTCTACAACTTCCCACCTCCCTCACCCTGAATATTGTACCAGCCTTGCCCAGTGTCTTAGGGAATGACTGTATTGCCAGGAAAGGGAGTGAAGATGAAAGACAAAGTCATAGAATCCTTGGGTTTTATCCCAAATTGCTATAGATTGTGCCTTGGCATTGCTTTTTCATGCCTCATCTTAGCTTCCAATAAGAGATTTTGTATTTGTTTCTCATCCAGCTGGTCATTGTTGGTGAAAGCTAAGGAGCAAGTAGGAGTTCTCAAGATGAAATGGATGGTAAGTTAACTTTATGATGAATGGCATTGCCCTGAAATCTCAGTAGAACCAAATTATTTCTAAACCTAAGATGGTATCTTCACCTCAAAAACTTCTCCACAGAATGACATTTTGGCAAAACAGTAGGGTTTGGACAGCCTTTGGGCCAAATTTGACTGGTATAGACGTGATTTGTATAGGTGTTTGACTTTTGTAGGTAATATTACTGAGAGTGATCATAATATCTTCTCCTGTAGAAAGTAGCACACATCTCAGGTAAAATTTTTGCATCAAGCAGACATGTATTCCAATCTCAATACCATCCTTGAACCTGATCTTGACCAAGTTTATTTAACCCTTATGAGTTAAACCTTCCTTATGTAAAATGAGGTTGTGAGAATTTACTTAGATCCTATAGACCTTGGATCAGCAAACTTTTCTGTAATTGCCAGATAGTAAATATTTAAGTCTTTGCAGATCATATTTTCCCTTATCACCACAATTCAACTCTACTGTTGTAGCAAAACAGCCGTAGATAAATGGGTAAATAAATGGGCATGACTGAGTTCCAATAAAACTTTATTTACAAACAGCCAGTGGCTGGATTTGGTTGCAGGTGGATACAGCCGACCCCTACTATAGATGAAGTATTTCGCAAATGAGTGGGCTTTCCTAGCTCTAAACATAGAGAGCTACAAACTTTAATGGACTGAAGTTCTTAATTTTAATGAAGTACCTACCTCTTCCTTGATCATAGGATCACTGGCTAACACTTAGACTATATTCAGCAAACTGGTTTGGCCAGTATGAAAAACTAAGTTTTAAACATCTTCTAAAAGCTTGCAATGGGTGTTGATCCTAAGATGCAAATCCATTCTATCTTCCTAATTTTTCCTTTTCTCCCTAAGCTTGTCTGTTGCAGACCTCATTCGGACCCTCCCTCCCACAGTCTCTAATTTGGGGTTGGGACACTTCACTCTTCCATTGCCTCCCTGGCCCATGTCTTTTAGAGAATTTTAAATTCCTGTTAGAATTTCTCAGTCTGTTGCCTCCATTGGAAAGAGTTATTTTTGACCTACCCTGACCCCGTCTTGAACAACAATAAAATGGGGATTGGGAGAAACGTGACACAAATCAATAGGTTATCCTAACAGACGTGATCTTTGAGGCTGTTTTTTCTTGGACACTCACAGCAGTAACAAAGATAAATAGCGACTCTGTTACATTGCCATCTGAGCAGTAGGTGGCTCAGCAGGTCACTGCGTGGCCTCTAGTCTGGGTGGCCAGTAGGTTTGAGCAGGATGAGAAGCAGAGGAGGGCCAGGAATCTGGCCACGAGGATAGAAAAGGAGAAGGCTCAAGGACAGGTGGTGCCTCCGTTTCTGTTGATGGTTGTTGATAACACATGGGGTTCCTTCGTGCTACTCAGCTGGCTCTGCTCACTCACCCACTTTCTCATTTATCCTCATCCCCTTAGTCTACATGCATTCAATAAGCATATAGTGAGCACCTGCTGTATACAGGGCACTGGCATGGTAAGAGAACCTGGGCATTGGTAGTGGCTCTAGTGTTTCCTTTGCCAGCTTTTGAGCAAAATGTGAGAAGTGATTGAGAATTGAGAATTGATTGCTATGGCTGATTTGAAGACCCTGGGGGAAGAGAGGGGAAAGTAACTCAATGGTTTCCTCTTCCATCTTCCCAGGGACACCAGCTGGCTGGAGAGTGGTAAAGAGCAGATGTAAGAGATGCAGGGAACTCCACTCTCTCCTCCTTGAGTTCTTGTGGTAGTTGTAGTGAAAGTGGTACTACTGGTGGTGGTAGTACTAGTGGAGGTGATACTAGTAATGATTGTTCTCTTACTGGTAGTACTAGTAGTGGTGGTACTAATAATGATGATAGTAATAGCTAACAAAAAGATTGATTGATTACCATATACAATGTATATTCTAGCTGTATTACTTCTGTTACCTCATTTAATTCTCACAGACCCATGAGACCGGTATGGTTATCATTCCCATTTTATACAAGAAGAAAAGAAGGCTGAGAGAGTTTAAGTCACTTGCTACCACATGAGTAGGTTGCGGCAGAGCTGGGACAGGCTCATCATAGCATTGATTTCATTGTGTCATGAATGCCTGTTTTCTTTTCTCTTTCCCCAATTCAGCTGTTAACTGGTTGATGGCATACACCACAATTTTTGTTGACTTTAAAAATATTGTAAAGTATAGCACATATACATTATTAAAAGAAAAACTGCAGCTGCAGCTGGGCTAGATTAAATTTAAAGGAGTTTAATTGAGCAATGAATGATTTGTGATTCGGGTAGCCCCCAGAATCACAGCAGATTCAGAGAGACTCCGGGGACGCCTCCTGGTCAGAACAAATTTATAGATCAAAATAAGGGAAGTGACATACAGAAATCAGAAGTGAGGTACAGAAACAGCTGGATTGGTTACAGGTTGGCATTTGCCTTATTTGAACACAGTTTGAACGCTCAGCAGTGTATGAGTGGTTGAAGTATGGCGGCTGGGATTGGCCAAGACTCAGCTATTGTTACAGGTGCATACTCCTAAGTTAGGTTTTCAATCCTGTCTACCTATTAAGTTAGGTCGCAGTTCATCCACAAGGACTGAAATATAGAAGTATGGAGTCCTTCTCAGACCATTTTTAGTTCACTTTAACGACATAAAACTGCACAAAACATACAGTATAAAGTGCAACGGATTATTATACAACAAAACACCTGTGTATTCATTGCCCAGACATTGCCAGCATTCCAGAAAATCCTCCCAGACCCCCTGTCAATTCTTAGCCCTCTTCTTCCCTTCCAGGAACAGCTCCCATGAACTCTAGCCCTACAGTTAGTTCTATCTATTGCTTAGATTTGTGAGATTTATCCATGTGTGACATGTAGCTGTAATTTGTGTATTTTCATTTTGGTATATGATATAGTTTGGTTGTGTGTCCCTGCCCAAATCTCATATTGAAATGTAATCCACAATATTGGAGGTGGAGCCTGGTGGGAGGTGGTTGGATCATGAGGGTGTTTCTCATGAATGATTTGGCACCATCTCTTTGGCACTGATCTCATGATAGTGAGTGACTTCTTGTAAGATCTGGTCATTTAAAAGTTCGTAGCACCTCCCCACTCACTCTCTTGCTCCTGCTTTTGCCATGTGACATGCATGCTCCCCTTTCACCTTCCGCCATGACTATAAGGTTCCTGAGGCCTCCCCAGAAGCCAAGTAGATGGCCAGTATCATGCTTTCTGTACAGCCTATGGAACCATGAGTCAATTAAACCTCTTTTCTTTATAAATTACCCAGTTTCAGGTTTTTCTTATAGTAATGCAAGAATGGCCTAATCCAGTATAGCACTACATCGTGGGAGCATACCAAATGTATTTATGTAATCTATTGTTGATGGACATTTGGATAATCTCTTGCTTTTGTTTATTATAAAGAGTACTACCATCAACACTGTTGTCCATGTCTCTTGGTCTTCCTGTACACATAGTTCTTTCTCTTGGAGAGAAACCTAGGAGTGGTCTTTCTGGGTCAAAGTATATTCCTATATTTTATAATTTACCTTCCCACCAGAAGTGTATGACAGTAACTGTTGCTTCACAGCTCACTGACACTGGGGATTGACAGGTTTTTAAGGTAATTCATTCTGACCTTAATTTGCATCTCACCAATTAGTAATGAGGTCAACAGTTTCATATGTTTACTGAATCTTTGGAATCTCCTTTTTGAAGTGCCAGTTCAAATCTCTTGCCCATTTTTATGTGTGTGTTTGCCTTTAAAAAAAAAAAAAAAAAACAACTAATCTTTGGGAGTTATGTATTCTGAATACAAATCCTATGCTGGTTACATGTTTGGCAAACAATCTTCTCTTATTATGTTGCTTGCTTTTGATTCTCTTGATAGTGTCTTTTGATGGACTGAAATTCTTAATTTTAATGAAGTTAAATTTATCTATCTCTTCCTTTATGGGTAGTGCTTTTGTGCTATCTTCTGGAAGCTTTATTGTTTTGTTTTTCTTTATAGATCTGTAGTCCACTAGGGATTGATTTTTGTATATGGCATAAGGTAGGAATCATCTTATTTTCTTTTTACCTTTCTTACTGATATTGAGTTGACCCCGTATCATTTATTCAGAAGACCATCCTTTCCCCACTGCTCTGCAATGTCACTTTTGTTGTAAATCAATAGGCCATATATGTGTGGGTCTGTTTCTGGACTCTATCTTGTTCCATTGGTCTATTTGCCTATCCTCGTGACAATTCCATACTATCTTAATTGCTGTGGAATTCCACTTGAGTCTTACTTTAATTTCATCTTTGTATCCTTCGTGCCTATCACAGTGCTTGGCACATAATATATGCAAATACTTGTTGGATGAAAGGGCCTCTAGTACTGGTTTCTGTGGATTTGCCATCATGGAAGGCCCTGTGAGGGTAGAAAGAAGGTGACTTTATTCCTCTCCCAGGATGGGGCTGGGCTTGGAGGGTGCTTTGGACCTACCAGGGTTTTGCTGGGATAGTAAGATCTGAATGTCTGCATTAGGCAAAAGGCCACGGCGGTTAGTGGAGCTGGGAAGCTGTGACAGAGATGGATGTTAGAGGTGGGACAGCAGTGGTGGAGTAGGTTAGCTGGATCCCCTTCACAATGATGATAGCATCCAGCTGTCTTCCTTGGGGGAAGGGCAGAGAACATTAATAAACTAAAGCTGTCACCAAATCTAACCTCAAAGCCTCCCATCAGCCTCCCCAACACCCACTGAGACTGCTCCTTTGCTCGGAAGGAGGACCTCGTCTCAAGCAGACTGGTGGGTCATCTCCTCCCCATCTCCCAATGGGAACCTGACAGGAATCCAATGTTTCAGAGATGACTTCCCTGATTTTGCTCTCTCCCTGTCTCTGTAGTCAGCTAAGCTTCCTTAAACACCACCTTCAAGTTGTGACTCCCCTGCCCCAACACCAACAATGAATTCTTGTCCTTTACAACGTACATTTCAAACTCCCCACTGTGGACTTGAGAAGACTTTCCATAATTTGGCCCTTCAACATTTATCCAGTTTTCCTTTTCTCCTTCAGCCACTATCCGGCTGGGTCAGCTGGCTTAGTTATCTTATTTCCCACATGGGTCGTTCCTTCTACTTAGATGCCTTTATCTTCTCTACTGATTCTTTAAAGCCCAGCCTGGGTTTTACTCCCACTCACCCGCCACGAAGCCCTTTCTGACTACTTCAGCACCCTATTCCCTCCCATCTCTGAAACCCTTGGTGTGTTCCTATCCAGTATTGAAAAGTTGCCATTTACGGTTCTCCCTTAGATTGCAGGAAAAGAAAGCTGTATTAGTCAAGTGTCCCCTGGGAGCTGTGTTAGTTACTAGCTGCCAGAGCAGATTACCACCAACCGGGTGGCTTAAGCAATAGAAATTTATTTTCTCACAGTACTGGAGGTTAAAAGCCCAAGATCAAGGCATTGGTGGGTTTAGTTTCTTCTGAGGCCTCCTTAGCTTGCATACGGCTGCCTTCTCACTGTGTCCTTGCATTGTATATTTCTGTGAGTCTCTGCTGTGTGTGCATCTAATTTCCTCTTCTTATAAGGACACCAGTCAGATTGGATTAGGGCACACCCTAATAGTCTCATGTCAACAACCTCATCCCTTCCTTAAAGGACCTATCTCCAAATACAGTCACGTTCTGCGTACTGGACATTAGGGCTTTAACACGTGAATTTGTTGAGGAGGAGGGACACCCATTTTAGCCCATAACAGTAGCCATCTCACAGTGAAGAAAGCCAAAGAGAGAATTTATCACCTCTGGCATCTGAAAAGTGGGAGTTGATCAAATTGTTACAGCCGGATCCAGGTATCACAAGTTGTCTAGGGCCTTGCTCTCTCCCTCCCTCAGCCCCATTTTCTTCAATGTTGAAATCATTCTAAGCTCCCCTTCCATTGTTGTGGCAAGATGGCTGCCACAGCCCTTGGCTCATATTTCAGCCACGGGGCTGCTCCAGGGAACAGGAGGCTTCTATCCCAATGGTACCAGGAAGAGTTCTGAGGCCAATTCTCATTGGCCCAGACTTGGTCAAGTGTTCATCACTGAACCAATCACTGAGATTCTACTGGGCCTGATTTGGCTAAGGCATCCTCCCACCTCAGAGGAAAAGTAGAGTCACCTAATCAGACCACATTGACCAAGAGGGGGGCAGTGGTCCCCCACGGAAAAGCCAAGGCATTGCCGTAGAAAGAGGACAGGATGCAGGACAAGGAAAACAAGGAATATTTATTCCAGTTACTTTCCAAGTGCATCATGCTGATCCACACTTGGCCCCAAGAGGTAGGTTTTATTATTTTCATTTTTGCAATAAAGAAATGGCGTCTCAGGGAGGGCATGTCCAGTCAAGTAACTGATAAGTTGAGATCTCGATTCAAGTACTGATCTGACTGCAAAACTCACATCCTTTCCTCCACTATACTGTCTCTCTCAGCATCTTCCATGAAGGGATTCAGCTGCTGGCATTCTCAACAACTGGCACAGCTGCAGGAAATCACAAGACCTCCACCATTATAGGGCTAGAGGCTGATTATAGTTAGCTGTGCCTTGGGCATGCTGCAGGGTGTGTTAAGCTTCAGGTGCGGAGGCTAGGGAGGCAGGTAAGGCTCAGGCTTGAGGGCAGAGGCTGTGTCAACAGAGATTCTGGGAGGAGACAGCAAAGGGCACAGGAGGAAGAAATGGAGATAGATGTAGAGATAGCAGTTCGGTAGATGTAGCAGGTGCAGTTGACTTCCTACTGCATAGCCTGGGTGTATGTGGCTCTCCTGGGGGACTCTCTTGCTAGCTCCCATTTCTGCCTTCCAAGACTGGAGTTTCACTGTATGAGTGAAGGCAGGTCCACCTGGCTCCTTCCAATCTTCTCTTTGTTCCTCTTCTTTGCAGATATCTTTCCAGACTTCCAAATACTAAAAACACTAAATTCAGAGATTGCTCAGCTCATTGTAGTAGAGTGGAGTGATTAAAAGAACAGCCTGGAGGTGGTCTGCCTAGCTGTCCACTTAGCTGCTGTGTGGCCTTGGGCAGTTATTTAACCTCTCTGGTCTTCAGTTTCTTTATGTGTAAAATGGAGCTAAACAGAGATTGACCTCATAGAACTGAGATAATCTACCAAAAGGTGTCAGGACAGTGCCCTACACACTGTATATGCTCAAAAATTAAAAATGTCAGGCATTATTGACTCAAGGCTGAAGAGCTTGGCTGGACAAGGGCTGCCCAGCTTATAGCAAAGACATTGGTGAGCAGAGGTAAGCTCGCTTTTTGTTTGGGGATGTTCCATATGCTCGATTCCGAGAGATGGTAGGTACTCTGAGGGCGAGTTTCTGGGGTCGGCAGGTCAAGGGTTACTTCTGAGTTTGCTTTCCTTGAAGCGGGCTTAGAAAAGGCTTCTCAGAAGAAGTGAGTCATAGGGATGATTTTAAGAAAGTGAAATTGCTGATTAATAGGGTGGCATGAAACTTCCAAAGCTGACCTCCATAAAAATTTAACTAGTAAAAATGGAGTAGTTTTACATCCCCCTATATTAATTGAGGGCTTCTTTGGCATAGAAATCTACATCCATTGATAACCCCAAATGCACCTTTGATTTCAGAATGCATTTATATATATTATTTGGCAGCAGATTTACTTCCTAATCATGTTTATAGCTTAAATTAATATGGAAATTAACCATGAAACCCCAGACCATTTCAAAGCACTGGATTTTACAGACCTCAAGCTACTTTAAAATAGATGTTGAAAATGTGAACTGCATTAAAAAAAGCTGATAGTATTAATTTAATTTAATCTCCATTAAAAATATCAGGAATGATTTATTGAGTTTTTAAAAGAAAAAAAAGCATAGGCTCTGTTATGGGCAGGTGCCACTTATAGATACAGGTTATTTGAATAAAAAATAATGCTTTTGTCAGATGCTAGCTTACTGCTGGATCCCAACTGGGAATAAAGTTCTGTGGGTTTCACTTTAATGATAATCTCTATGAACACATGTCTTTATGCAGAAACATTTCATATCTTTAGCAAGATAGTTCTACCTACCAGGTTTTCTCACATTCCAGATTTAGGCATGTGGGGAAGCCCCACATAATAAGCTTCAAACCATTTTTACTATGGATATGAATTTGTTCACTCACAAATAATTGCTGAACAGCCACTCTGTGCCATGCACTGTGTTACGTGTTTAATGAAAATAGTGGGTTAAGACAGCAGACAGTCCCTGCCTTTGTGGAGTTAGTAACCTAGTGAGTGAGGGAGACACAAAATAAATGACTGCAAGTGGATATATAGTAATCACTTGAGGCCAGGCCCGGTGGCTCACGCCTGTAATTCCAGCACTTTGAGAGGCTGAGGTAGGCAGATCACGAGGTCAGGAGATCGAGACCAGCCTGGCCAACATGGTGAAACCCCATCTCTACTAAAAATACAAAAATTAGCTGGGCATGGTGGCGGACACCTGTAGTCCCAGCTACTCAGGAGGCTGAGGCAGGAGAATCGCTTGAACCTGGGAGGTGGAGGTTGCAGTGAGCCGAGATTGCGCCACTGCACTCCAACCTGGTGACAGAGCGAGACTCTGTCTCAAAAAAAAAAAAAATCACTTGGGCCAGGAGCGGTGGCTCACACCTGTAATCCCAACACTTTGGAAAGCTGAGGCAAGAGGATCACTTGAGACCAGTAGTTCAAAATCAGCCTGGGCAACATAGTGAGACCTTGTCTCTATCAAAAAACCCCAAAATTAGCCTGGCCTGGTGGCATGCACCTGTAGGCCCAGCTACTCGTGAGGCTGAGGATTGCTTGCTCCCTGGAAGGCAAAGCTGCAGTGAGCTGTGATTGCCTCACTGCACTCCAGCCTGGGCAACAGAGTGAGACCCTGTCTCAAAAAAAAAAAAATCACTTGGGATAACTACTTGAGAGAGAATATGGGAGGGGACATTTAAGGGTTTGTGAGGGGTCTGGGGAGGCCTCTCCAAGGAACTGACATTGAGCCTGAGATACAAAGAAAGGTGAGGACTTTACCTATTCATTTTTACACAAAGGCAATGCACACGCACCCCCATGTCACTTTACATATGTCTATCACTTTGTGCAAACAGCACACAGTTTGCAAGAATCTTTATCATACCATGTGGCTTGCTCAGGTTAGGGGGTTGAGTGTAGCGACTTTTGGCACTTACCTTTGTATACCCTCTCCCCAACATCCCTCCCACCCCCTGAACTGGTAGATGAGGAAGCCACAGAAAGGCTGTCCCCTGGTCCTGGTCACACACCTGGTTAAGTAGCACAGCTGGGATCTGAAGGTCTCTGCCT
Source organism: Homo sapiens (assembly GCF_000001405.40). Lineage (NCBI taxonomy): Eukaryota > Metazoa > Chordata > Mammalia > Primates > Hominidae > Homo > Homo sapiens. The sequence goes on from NC_000014.9 coordinate 76,261,453, forward strand.
CAATGCTTGTGTTTTTTTCTCCTATCCTACACTACAAGGCCTCTTAGAAAAGAGCTCTCCTCCCCCCAATCCTAGCAACCGCACTTACATTCCAAGGGCTTCATCGAGTGCTTCTCTGTAGGCAGCTGGAATTTCAGCTGCCTTCTTCAGTTTAGGCCAAAACAAATAGGTCTTTCTCTTTCCCGGAGGGATGCGCTGGACCAGAAGACCTGAGTTAGCTTTTTCACCCTTTGGGGCTGCCTCTGTGGTGTGTGGTCCTGACAGATGGGCAGCTTAAACGGAACAACTGTAACCAAAGCCCGGGAGTTCCTGTGGTTTCTTTAGTCTCTTTCTTCTCAGCTAGAAGCCTGCAGAGATAACTCTATCGATTCTATCCCCAGGTGGGGATGGGTGACAAAGCTGGAAGCTGAGGATAACTGGATTTGCTGGGGGCAGAGAGCAGGTCTGGGGAGTGCCAGGTGTTACCTGTAGGGCTGCCACACCTTGGTGGTGGTGGTGGTGGGGGGGGAGACAGGGTGTCCTGTGGCATTCTAAATGAATGGGTGGCATTCTAAACCCCAGGGAAGAGCAGTTTCCAGCCTTTATTCAGTTTTTCTTTTTAACTGACATTAAAAAAAAATTCAGGTATAATTATATACAGTCAAATGCACAGATCTTAAGTTCAGCACAATGGATTGTAGCAATGTATACATCTATGAAATTGCCACCTAAAAAGACATGGGACATTTTCATACCTCCAGAAAGTTCTTTTGGTTCCCCTTTCTAATCATTCCCCTGCCCCCACTGCACTGAGACAATGCTCACCGTGTTCTGACTTCTAACATCCTAGGTTAGCTTTGTCTGGTCTTAGACTTTACGTAAATGGAATCATACACTACTTATGTTTTGGGTCTGGCTTCTATCACTCACCTAATGTTTATGGGAGTCATCCAATTTGTTGCATGTGTCCAGTAGTTTGTTCCTTTTTATTGTTGAATGGAATTCCATGGTATGGATATACCACCATTTCCTTACCCAGTTTTAGTTGGTGAACATTTGGGTAGTTTCTGGTTTGGGGCTGCTATGAACATTTGTATCGGAGTCTTTCATAGACATGTGTTTTCCATTTATCTTGGGAAATACCTAGGAGTGGAATTGTTGGGTCATAGAGAAGTTGTGTTTTATGTGCCTTTATTCTAGCTTGTATCAGAAAGAGGAGCAGCAGAAAGATGGAGCCTCATCTGCGCGTGGCTTTGCTATCTTACATGATAAGCCTCAGTGGCATCCAGTGGTGTCTGATGGGCTGATTTGGAGTCATATTCCTGCCCACTTTTGGAATGAGCGGGAAGGGTCAAAAACGGACTCTTTAACTTCCTTAATGATGACCAAGTGCTCCCTTTCCCTAAGATGTCACCCCATGGGGGAATTCCCCATGATGGTGGGCGGACACTCTCTACCCCCAAGAAGGCATCAGTGGGATTTCCCATATTGGGATGGTAACAGGAAGGGGATTATATGCTGGAGAGTCAACAAAGTGACAATCCCACTACTTAGGGTCAGTTTTGAGGAATGAAAGATGTCTAACTTCTTGACAGGAGACCTCATCACTTCGTAAACCTAGCCTCAAAAATGCAGGAGCCTATTAAGCCAAGTCTTCTCTCAAGGTGATGGAGGGACAAAGACTCTCAGAGCACGGCACAATGCCTCAGCCTCTTCCACTTTGATATTTGGAAAAATAGCCATTCACTGTTATTTTTTAAAAATGCAGAATCACCCGAAGGGATACCATTTGAGTTCTGGGAGAGCTGCCTGCCGACTTCACAAAGACGTATTCCTCTCATTAATGACTGTTAGTGTAGCATCATGCAATGCTCCTGAGAAACTGCAGAAATAGTAATGACCATGTGATGGCCAAGGCTGATTGGAAGATGCTCCTGGGGAGAGATGAAGTTTGGATTTACAGCATCAGCATGAAGGAGTTGCAAGCATTGGTGTTGTAAACCGCACTGGCACCTGACACTAAATGTGGGAAAGGGATGGGGTTCCAGAAATAAAGCAAAAATACCAGGCAATGGATGCACAGTGACTGAGTTTTGGGAGAGGCATAAATGCCAAGGAGAATGGGTTGTAGGTTCTATGTTGGGGTGAGGCTATGGTGGGGTGGAAGTATGAGTGTTGAGTGAGTGAGTATCATTGTCTCAGATCCTGGAGAAAGGTCAGCCTTGCATGGCATGGAAGGGCAGGTGTTCATACAGTTGGGCATTATGCCTGGCACATCACCTATGTCAACCCATTTAACCTTCACAACAACTGGGTATAGTAGGTATTATTGTTCCCATTACGCATATGAAGAAACTGAGGTTCAGAGAGGCCCTGTAATTGCATTGTGGTCTGATTCAGATCTGGGGTTTATAGCTAGAAGTTCTAAAGGAAGCCTTAAAACACTGCCGCACCTTTTAGATCTGGATTCGTAGGAAGGGAAGGTTATTCTAAAATGCAGTGGCAGACAGAGGGCAACAGACTGTCATCACCTCTGCATCTGGATGACTCTTTATGGTCATTAGCATCTCCCAGGGCCCTCAGTGAGCAGCTTCTCAAGGCAGGTCTTCCCTGATGGCAAGAGGTGGCATGAAACCTCCTCTGCCACATGCTGGCTGCTCCCGTACAGGTGGTCCGGCTGCTGCTGGCTAAGGACAGGCAGAGGAGGGAGGATGGAGGAAAGGTGAGGGCTGGTAGGTGCTCAAGCCACCCAGGCCAAACAGTGGCAGCAGGAGCAGCAGAGAGGCCTGCATTTTGGTGGTGCCCCAGGCTGCACTGCTATTTTCACTTCAGGGGCTGTGAGCAGAGAAGATCCTTCCACCTCACTCTTCTCATTTTACATGTGCCCTGAAGAAACATCCTACCCAGAGGCTAGAACATCTCCAACTATCTAGAAGATGGCCATAATTATTTGGTTAATAGCCACCTCCACCACTGAACTTCTGCAACTTGCCTCTGATGAAGCTGTTCCAATAATTGTTCATTTCTTCACCCATTCTTTTGCTCCACCAGTATTTCCTAAGCAGCTGCTATGCCATGTGCCAGACGCTGTGCTGCTCCTGTAGTATGGTAGGCAGACACAGTCCCTGCCCTCAAGAAGCTTACAGTCTGGTGGAAAGACAGACAATTCTCTTCTGCAGCTCCCTCTCTGCCTCTGCCCCAGCACCCATGCTGGTCTCTCCCAGAGCTTACATCCCCCGGGTCCTCCCTGCAGGCCAGACACCACGATGCCAAATGCGGGCTGCTCATCAAAGACTCCATTGAGAGCTGGTCGCTGTGTGGGGAAAGCAGCAGTGTTGGCTCCGAACCTGACCTGAGGAGGCATGGCTACCGTCAGTTCTGTTGTGACAGCCCTTGACAGCAGGTGTCTGTCATCTCCCCCATTCTATCCCCTCCAACCACCCCAACGTTTTTTGCCAGCCTCAAAGTGTCACTTCCATTTGGAAGGCATAGAGGAAGCTACGTGGTGAGAGGAACCTGTCATCACTCTACTTCTTGACCAGGGTGGAGGCCAGAGGACAAGTGGCATCTGTGCTGGGACATCCTAGGAGCCTGAAGCTGCTGCTGAAAGCAGCTGGGACCCCAGGTGCCTCTGCTGCAGTCCCTCTTCTCCCTGCCTGTGCCTTTAAAGAGGGTAGTTTTCTTCCATGGACCCATCACTGGCATTCATCTTCTCAGTGTGTCACTTGGTGGAAACGACAATATTTCCCTAGGTAGGGGTAGAGTGAGGAGTGGAAGGGAATGTCCTGGCTAAGGGTTTGAGCTGCTGGAGACTGACCTTAAGGGATGAGGAAGGGAGTGAACAAAAGGTAGTGAGTTGAGGCTTTGGGGTCAGACCAGGGCTGAAATTCTAACTATGACCCAGCAATTCACTGCTGGGTGTATACCGAAGAGAAATGAAAACTTCTGTCCACACAAAGACATGTATGCAAATGTTCATGGCAGCGTTATTCATAATAGCCAAAAAGTGGAAATAACCCAAATGTCCATCAACTAATGAATGCATAAATACAATGTCGCATGTCCATACAATGGACTACTATGTACCCATAAACAGGAATGAAGTGCGGATACCTGCTACAGCATGGATGAACTTCAAAACTTTATGAACTAAGTGAAAGGAGTCAGATGCAAACCACGCAGATACATGTTGTATGCTTCCATTTATATGAAATATCCAAAAAGGCAAATCTATAGATACATGTATTAGTCCATTCTTAAATTGCTATAAAGAAATATCCGAGACTGTGTAATTTATAAAGAAAAGAGGTTTAACTGGCTCACAGCTCTGCAGGCTGTATAGGAAGTGTAGTGACTTCTGGGGAGGCCTCAGGAAATTTTCAGTCATGGTGGAAGGTGAAGGGGAAGCAGGAGGAAGAGACAGAGAAGGGGCAGGTGCCACACACTTTTAAATGACCAGATCTCATGACAACTCACTCACTATCAAGAGAACAGCACCCAAGGGAAATTCACCCCCGTGATCCAATCACCTCCCACCAGACCCCACTTCCAATGTTGGGGATTACAATTCGACATGAGATTTGGACAGGACACAGATCCAAACCATATCAATACAGAAAGTAGATTAGTGGCTGCCTGCGGCTAGAGAAGGAGGACAAGGAGAGACTACAAATAGACAAAAGATCTTTTTAAGATGATGGGAATGTTCTAGAACTAGATGGTGGCAAGGGTTGCACAGCTTTGTAAACTCACTAAAAATCATTGGAATACACTTACAATGGCTACATTTTATGATGTGTAAATTATACCTCAATAAAGCTATTTAAAAAATCTCCATTATACCACTTCCTAGCTTTGGGAAATTACTTAACTATTGAGTCTGTTTCTTCATCTATAAAATGGGGAGGATGATACCTACTTCACAGGCTCACTGTGAGAATTAGGGGCCTGATTCACAGTGAGCACTCAAGAAATGTAAATGGTAGCAGTTGGCAGTCATTACTACTGCTCCTGTCTTTTTGTTTGTTTTTGTTTTTGTGGTAGTAGAAGTGTCTTGATTTAGAAAGAGAGGAGAGGGCTGGGTACGGTGGCTCACGCCTGTAATCCCAGCACTTTGGGGGGCCGAGGCGGGTGGATCACCTGAGATCAGGAGTTTGAAACCGGCCTGGCTAACATGGTGAAACCTTGTCTCTACTAAAAATACAAAAATTAGCTGGGTGTGGTGGTGAGTGCCTGTAATCCCAGTTACTCGAGAGGCTGAGGCAGGAGAATCGCTTGAACCTGGGAGGCTGAGGTTGCAGTGAACCGAGATCTTGCCGTTGCACTCCAGCCTGGGCGACAAAGCAAGACTCCGTCTCAAAAGGGAAGGGAGGGAGGAAAGGAGAGGGGAGGGGAGGGGAGCGGAGGGGAGGGGAGGGGAAGGGAGGGGAGGGGAGGGGAGGGGAGGGGAGGGGAAGGGAAAGGAAAGGAAAGGAAAGGAAAGGAAAGGAAAGGAAAGGAAAGGAAAGGAAAGGAAAGGAAAGGAAAGGAAAGGAAAGGAAAGGGAGAGAGAGATACCAAGAGATATCAAGCATCTTAGCTACCAGGAAAATTACAGGGTTTGAGGGTTTTTGAGATGTTAACTTCACTCCTTGTACCAGGTGCATGGTTTTATTCTGTTGTTTGTTGTTTTGAGACAGTCTTGCTCTGTTGCGCAGGGGGGAGTACAGTGGCACAATCTTGGCTCACTGCAACCTCCACCTACTGGATTCAAGTGATTCTCGTGCCTCAGCCTCCCAAGTAGCTGGGACTACAGGCACGCACCACCATGCCGGGCTAATTTTTGTATTTTTTAATAGAGATGGGGGTCTCACTATGTTGCTCAGGCTGGTCTCAAACTCCGAAGCTCAAGCCATCCTTCCGCCTTGGCCTCCCAAAGTGCTGAGATTACAGGCGTGAGCCACCACGCCCGGCCCAGGTGCATGTTTTTAATGGTCTGCCTCCACAATACATTTCCTGAATGTTCTCTCTGAATGCCAAGGAGTCTGGTTAAAACAAACAAACAAACAAAACCTCCCGCCAGCCAGAGGCATAATGGAGACGTGGGGCTTCTACAGATATTCATAGCCAAGAGGAGTTGAATTATGCTGGAGAGGGAAAACATAGGGGCCACGTGGTGCCCAGTGCCCCTACTTTCTTTCTTCTTATTCCAGCTCTTCATTTTTATTCCCCAATCCTGAAATGTAGTTGGGATTTACCATGAGCCAGCGGGGGCTGAAAGAGCCCCGTTTACCTCTAGGCCCTACGTTCCTCTGGACGAGTTTCATTTCCAGGAAACTGCTCCCCTCCTGGAGACAACAGGGTTTTCAGCAGCCCCAGGTCCGCGTCCATTCAGCCTAACAACCCCAGGGGAAACGTAAATGGTAGCAGTTGGCTGTCTTTACAAATAGTTTCAACAAAATCCCCAGGGTTCATTCTCTTTAAGTTCCTGAGACCTCACGCTCCTCCTGCGCGGATCGTTGTGGCCCGGAGAACACAGCAAGCTGATTGGCCAGAGCTGGTCACGTGCCCCGGCGGGCGGGGGAGGGGGCATGTCGGGGAGCCGGGGCCGGGGGCGGTCAGCCCCACTCTACCAACATTGATAGAAAGAAAAGAGGAGGTCTTCAAGGAAAATTAGAGCTTCTTACCAGAGGAAAGAGAATAACTGTCTGGCAGATAAATCCCAGATGTCCACTCTAACCGTCCACCTTGGAACCTCCACCTTCCTGTGCTCGTCTTAGAGGAATTCTAGAACTGTCGTTGGAGGAACACCGCTGTTTTCTAGAGGTCCCACAGCCGTCCTTCTGTTCATGCGGAGTACGGGCCAGCAGCTTCATTTTCCTAAGAGCATGTTAATTCCGTTTCTCATCTGGCTCATTTTCAAAGCCATGTTTCCACACTTAATGAAAACACAGTATCTGTATTACAAATGCTTGCTAAGGAATATAACCCCAAAGACTTAACTGGCCAACTCATAAGAATTTTGATTTCAAAAAGTAATTCACATGGAGGACTGTATGGAGCGTTTACACCCGGATAGTTCCTCCGGATATTCCAGCGTGCACCCGAGGCCATGCTGGAACCACCGAAAGCTGTGTACTCTCACTATACTGCTTTGCTCCCCTAGACAACTATTCTGGGAATATGCCCTTGGCTTTTATGGAGATACGCTATAAAAAGCAGTTGTATTCGTTAGAATATTCCAGACCATGATGAGACAACAAGTAAACCTTCAATCTCAGGGGTTAAACACAGTTGGCTTAAACACAGAGGTTTAAGTGAAACGCAGGGGTTAAACACCGGTTGACTTCGTGTTCACCTCACAGTGCAAGGTGAGTCGGTGGGGGGGTCTCCTCCAGAAGAGACCCAGAGATCCAGGCTGCTCCCTGCTGGCACACAGCTGTCCCTGAGTGTTTTTCTTTCATTCCTGAGGATGAGAGGGATTTGAGGGCAAATGCGCAGAATTCCCTGGTACACTCCATTCACGGGAATTCAGCGACATGATCCCAACCTGTCCATAAGGGAGTCTGAGAAGTGTGTTCTCCCGAGTGCCTAACAAGAGAGAACAGGATGGCGGACCCACAGTGCTGGCTCTGCCACATTGGTTGTAGGAAATACACAAGCATGTTTATTATCTGAAGGCTGCTGAGATGCAGAATCAACTATGGCAAATTGAAATACACGCATTTATTGTCATCCCTTCCCCAAACCAGCTAAAGTATGATAAATGGATTTTAAAAGGCACGGGCCCATAAGGATAAAGAAAATGAAAGAAGACGATAGCAATTAAATATTAGAAATGAAAAGGAGATGATAGCAATTAAATATTGGAAGTTGGAAACCAAATGAACAAGAGTTGCTGACCTGGCTAACCAAGGAAAGCTAAAGCTGAAGTCAGGAGTGGGGCGGAGGTAGGGGTGTGAGGGAGTGAGAGCGGAACCCCAAAGCAGGTTACAGGAAGTTCTGGGACCCCAGCAAGGCTGAGGTATTAGAGGCACCGGGTCCCTTGAAAATGAGAGGATAGGCGCGGTGGCTCACGCCTGTAATCCCAGCACTTTGGGAGGCTGAGGTGGGCGGATCATTTCAGCCCAGGAGTTTGAGACCAGCCTGGGCAACATGGCAAAACTCCATCTCTACAAAAATACAAAAATTAGCTGGGTGTGGAGGCACATGCCTGTAGTCCCAACTGCTCAGGGAGCTGAGGTAGAAGGATCACTTGTGCCTGGAAAGCGTAAGTTGCAGTGAGCCGAGATAGCGCCACTGCACTCCAGCGAGACCTTGTCTCAAAGAAGAGAAGAAGAGAAAAGAAGCGAAGAGAAGAGAAGAGAAACAAGCTAGATGGGACTAAAATAAAAAGGACAGGTTTAAATTCAGAAAAGTAGCTGTTAGAAGCCCTATACCCTCCTTCCTCCCTCTCCACAATGCGGGCTACTGATTTCCCCTCCTCTACCACAGAGAAAGGAAAGAGATTTATTTTCTGGAGAAATTGAGCCAGAAAGGCTCTGGACTCTCAATTCTAGACATGGCTGAAGGCAGGGATTCCATATTGAAAATAGGAGCATTAAGTGAGTTTCTACACTGAAAATCAGTTCCTTTATTCCTTTCCCCACTTGGCTCCTGGAGCTTCAACAGTTGGATTTACGTAAGTCAAGTTGGAGAACGAAGACTCCTCCCTGAGGAAACCAGTGAAACCAAGAGAAAAGACCTACAAGACCTTGGGACTTGCCTTATCCATGGTGCCCACTTGATGAGACCTCGGGAGAAATTTCTGACTTTAATTGGGCTTCTGTGGAACAGCTGAGCAACGCTTAGGAACATTGTGAATCTTGTAAGGAAGGGAATTTCCTTCTTTGCTTTGTTTCTGGAAAGCATAACTCCAAATTCTCTGCCCACCTCAAGCAGTTATATGGGAATTCACTTATGTATTTCTGGGCACTCAATGTATTCCTAACTTTCCGAAGCCACCTCATTTTAGTTTCACCCTGATTCCCATCCATTGATCCACCCACCCTCTTACTCACTCACTCATTCAACAAACATGAGTGGATTGAGTGTGGTGCCAGACAATAGGCTCAGTGTTGGGGACCAGGGACTAATGCTCACGGACCTTAAACACACTGCCATTGTAGGCAATAGAAATGGTATGCAATTTGAGAAATTGCAATTTCTTTGAGAAATCCATTTTGGAAGTATGTGTGGGTGACGATTGTTATAAATAGCTACATATACAAAGACTGGAGCTGATCTAATATACCCAGAGCAGAGAACAGAGGCACTGAAATATTTTCTGCAGCAGCAAAGCAGGAGGGACTTAGGTTAATGGGTGCGTGCTAGGATCTCCAAACCAGTGGCAAAACCCGTGTTGTCTATTGCATCTGCCACCATGGGTGGGTAGGCATGGAGGGGGGACTGGGTGGGGGAGGATCCTGGGAAAGGGTGCCTTCTCATGGAGGAACCTCAGCCCTCAAGGAATTGAAATAAGAGAGAGACAAAGAAATGAGCTCCTACTCTTGTCACTCAGATGTCGCTCTAAAGCATCTTTACTCTGGATTTATGTTCCTCGGTGCCTGTATAACCCTGCAAGGCCACGGCATTACAGAAAATCGCCAGCAGTTTCAGAAACACCAGTGTGAGTCCAGTTACTGCTTCTCTCTGATCTTTAGTATATGTGCTGCTGAAGTGAGCCCATCTCTGATCTTTAAAATGATCTCAGATCTCTAATATGAAGGGGGGTCTCAATGCCTAGACCTGCCCACCATCACCCCTCACTGGCTGGGAAAGGCTGGGGTGTGCAGAATACAGGTGACCTGCCCCTGGGAGGTCCATGCTCCATGGTCCAGATGGGGCTGAGGATGCTTCACCCCAGGGCAATGTTAGCAGAGTGGCAGCCCATGCTTTGGCTTAGTATGGCATTCTGCATCAATGCATGTGCACGCACATGCTCACATGTGTGCACACTCTTACAGGGAAGTTAATAGAGATCTACAGCCCTCGTTACCATTTGCTTTCATAAATAAATATATTAAATTGGGAAGCCAGATTTATTTCTGGCAACAGCTTGCAGGCGACACCTCCCCCTCTTATTCACAGTTCCTGAAGCGAGCCCAGCCTCTCCCACCCCACCCCCAGGCGTGACTTTCTCTCTTAAAATTCTATTTTTAATTTGTTGTGATGAATGAGTGACACCTCTGACAGCCGATTCGCGGAGATTAATAGAAACGACACAATATTTACGTCGGCGCTACGAACAATTATCCTGCCATCTATCTCTGAGATTATCTTCCTGATTGAAAACTACTCATCCGTGTAATCGGAATTATTTGGAATTAGAAGGGAATTTATAGCCCCCCTAGAGCACGCTCTCTCCCCTCGAGTCTACACCTCGGTCTCCATCTTTCTCTTGTCTCTCCTCTGGGCCTCTGGCTTTCTCTTCCATCCTGGTGATGGGCAGAGAAAAATCTTTTTCTCCTGGAGGGGGCCACTGGTCACTCAGGACAGTGGGCATCTCTTTAGGGTGGCCTGGGACTCCATGATATGGATCTAGAAGTAGTGGTTTGTGGGAAGGAGGATCTTCGTGGTGTCATAAGAATTAGGGGTCAGCGAGGCCAGCTCCTGAGCTCAAGATAGATGAATATGATCTGAAGAAAAGGGTTTAATACAAAGGTGGAGAAGAAAGGTGACTTTGGAAAGCACTTGGTGTCAGACGGTGACAACTGTAAGAAATCTAAAGGAGCAGGATGGGATTGCAATGATGGTGTTAAGGTTGCTCTATTTCTGTTATGACTGTCTTAGTTGGCTCAGGCTGCCATAACAAATACTATAGACTAGGGGGCTTAAATACATTTCTCTACAGTGCTGGAGGCTGGGAGTCGGAGATCAGAGTGCTAACTTCGTTGGATTCTGGGGAGGGCCTCCTCCTCCTGGCTTGCACATGGCTGCTCTCTCATGTCCTCACCTGGGAGAGAGAAAGAGAGAGAGAGACAGACAGACAGACACACAGAGAGAGACAGAGAGACATACAGAGACATACAGAGAGAGAGGCAGAGGGAGAGAGGGGTAGAGAGAGGGACAGAAAGAGAGAGACAGAGAGAGAGAGGAAGAGAGAGGAAGAGAGAGAGTTAGAGACACATACACAGAGAGAGAGGGAGTGAGACAGAGAGAAAGAGAGAGAGTCAGAGACACATAGAGAGGGAGAGAGAGGGAGTGAAACAGAGAGAGAGAAAGAGAGAGGGAGAGAGACAGACAGAGAGAAATAGAGACAGAGAGACACAGAGAGACAGAGACACAGAGAGACATATAGAGAGACATACAGAGAGACAGAGAGACACACAGAAAGAGGCAGAGAGAGGGGGGAGGGGAGAGAGAGAGAGGGACAGAGAGAGGAAGAGAGAGAGAGACAGAGAAAGAGATAGGGAGTGAGACAGAGAGAAAGAGAGAGAGAGGGAGAGAGAGATAGAGAGAGGGAGTGGACAGAGAGAGAAACAGAAAGGCAGAGAGAGAGGGAGAGAGAGATAAGGGAGGGAAAGAGACAGAGAGAGTAAGAGAAAGAGACAGACAGAGAGGGAGACAGAGAGAGAGGGAGTGAGACAGAGAGGAAGAGAGAGAGAAGGGACACACACCCACACACATGCACACACAGAGAGAGTGTGCTCTTGTATCTCTTCTTCTAAGGGCACTAATCCCATCAGGAAGGCTCTACCCTCATGAAGACACCATCTCCAAATATCATCCTTCTGGGGCTTAGGGTTCCAACACAAGAATTCTGGGGGGATAAACATGTAGTCTATCGCAGACATAATGATGCAAAGAGCTGGAGAGGGTGAGTCAGGCAGGCTAGAGGCTGGACCCCATCAAGGCTCACATTTGGGTTGTAAGGATGGGGAGGCGAGGCTGAGAAACAGCATGTGCAGCTCTGGAGAAGCCCGAGAGCCTGTTTCTCACATTGGGGAGGCTGGAGAGTGGGGGTCAGAGTAAGAATGAATGGAGACACTAGGAGTGCATGCTCTGTTTTCGGTTCTCTGCCTGGTCCCTGCCTGTTAGCCTGGTGGATTCAAGGTTGGGCCCTGAGTCAGACAGACTTCAATTGACTCCCTGTTCTGCTACTCCAAAGCTGTGTGACCCCAGGCAAGTTTCTTAACCTCTCTGAGCTTCCATTTTTTTTGTCAGTAAATTACAATTTATAATCCTCCTTGTTGGAGTGTGCACTATCTGTATATTGAGGGTAGCAATAGTACCTACTTTACAAGGATGTGTGTAGATTAAATGAGATCATGCAAGTAGGGTACTTTGTGCAGTTTCCACTACATAGGAGGGACTCAATATATGTAGATGCTACAGATGAGATCAACCTAAACCCTGGGCCTCTTTAGGAGACAAAGACCTGGGCTCCTGGAACAGCCCTGGCCTGCCAGGTTCCTTTCCCCACCTTTCGCATCACACATCCTGATGACCTGTCTGCCTGCATCTCCTCCTGCTTCCAGCCCCACTTCCCCCTCTCTCTTTGTGGTACTGGAATATTTTCTGCAGTAGCAAACCAGGCTGGGACTTAGTTTAGTGGGTGCATGCCAGGATCTCAAATCACCTTTGTTATTTCTCCCCTCCTGTAAATACTTGTAATTGCAAAGATGTATTGAACATGCACTCTTCCCTGGCATGTTTCCAAGTTCTTTACTGGAATTCATGTATTTAACCCACACACTATCCCTGGAGGCTAATTGCTATTAATTATTAACATTCCCATTTTACAGATGGGGAAACTGAGGCACTGGGAGGTGAGATAACTTGCCAAAGTCACATGACTGGTGTGGTCAGCAGCCTCTAAGCTGCCCTTAAGGTTCTTGCCTCTGGTATTCACATCCACATGCAGTTCCCGCTCCCTGTGTGTGGGCTGTGCCTAGTGACTTGCTTCTAATGGATAGAATAGATCAAAGTGCGGCATGTCACTTCTGAGATTAGGGCAAAAGCCCGTGACATTTGTCTTGCTCATACTCTCTCTCCCTAGCTCCTTTAGATTGTTTGCTCTGGTGAAGGGACCTACCATGTCAGTTGTCCTCTGGAGAGGCCTCAAGGAACTGAGGACAGCCTCCCATCAGCAGCCCATGAGGAACTGAATCCTGCCACCAACCATGTGAGTGAGTTTGGAAGTCTGAGATGACTGCAACCCTGGGCCATACATTGGCTGTAGCCTTGTGAGAGATGCTAAACCAGAGGACCCAGCTCAGCTAGTCCCAGATTCCCGGAGCCACAGAAACTGTGGCTCCTAAAGGGGCCCAGGGTTTAGGTTGATCTCATCTGTAGCATCTCTGTATATTGAGTCCCTCCTATGTAGTGGAAACTGCACAAAGTACCCTACTTGCATGATCTCACTTAATCCACATACATCCTTGTAAAGTAGGTACTATTGCTACCCTCAATATACAGATTGTGCACACTCCAACAAGGAGTCTTGTCTTAAGCTGCTGGGTTTGGGATAATTTCTTATGCAGCAATAGATAACCAGTGCAACAAGTAATAGCCCAGCCAGGATTTAGACCTAGGCAGTTGGACTCCAGTGCCTGTGCTCTTGGCCATGTTGCTATATGGTGGATGGGGAGGCCTTTGGGATTGAACCACTCAGGTTCCCAAGTCATATTTGAAAGAGACAAGTGAGCTTGCATGGCTTTTTCAGACAGATTTAGGATGAGATTAAAGAAAGTAGTGTCTTGGTCAAGAGAATTTTTGTTGTTGTTATTTGTTTTTTTTTTTTTTTTTTTTTTTTTTTTGAGGTGGAGTCTCGCTCTGTCGCCCAGGCTGGAGTACAGTGGTGCGATCTCGGCTCACTGCAACCTCTGCCTCCCGGATTCAAGCGGTTCTTCTGCCTCAGCCTCCCAAGTAGCTGGGATTATAGGTGCCCGCCACCACACCTGGCTAATTTATTTATTTAAGTAGAGATGAGGTTTCACCATGTTGGCCAGGCTGGTCTCAAACTCCTAACCTCCAGTGATCCAAGTGATCCACCCGCCTTGGCCTCCCAAAGTGCTGAGATTACAGGCCTTGGTCAATAGAGATTAGTAAATACCATTTGGAAAATGTCACTTCTCCTTTGGGATTAACTTAGCCCTGTCCAAGAGAAACATGAGTATGTTCTTTGGGTCTAGAGGAGCTTTATTCTTTAGGTGGCTGGTAGGTGGAGAGAGAGCTCTTCTTTCATAAGAAATGTGGTGTCATCAGGGGAGTCTTGGGCCCAGAATAGATAACAGTAATCCCCAGTAGTGTTCTCAAGAAATGCTTCCAAGTCAAGGTAGCCCCACGTGGTATATAACATGGCCCTTCCTCAGTGGCTGGAAGGACTTTGCTTCCAACAGGATCATAATCTTCGTGCTACCTCACTAACATTGGAAACAAATGGAGCCAATCTGGATTTATTCATGTGCTCTGTAAACAGTGGAATTCTGCTATGGCTCTGAGGAAATGGGGACATCATAAATTTGTCATTAGGACATTATTCCTTCTTTTTAATAAATAACTTTCTTTAGTTTTGCAAGAATTGGCCAACTCTCTCAGAGGAAGGCTATGGAACCCTTAGAATTTAGTGGAGTCCAGGGACCATCCTTGAATAATGAGGGAAATCAACATTAAGGCCAACGTAGTGCATTTGTTATAAGGGTAGGACCCATATGGAGCAACAAAGAAGATAAATGTTATGTTCAAATCATAGAAAGCACCATCTGGGTAGAAAGGTAAGATGCCTTGATACTTGAGAAAATATTACCACTTTCAAGTTGGGTTTAGATTGCGTTATCTGCCTCCTACAATTAATATCTTTGGGGGAGCTCTGTGCCTCCTTTAAAAGGCCGGTAGATGAAGTAGCTGGCCTCCCTGTGGCTTATGCAGATTTAGGTACTGAAGGATAGCTGGATCTGGAAGGATCCACATCTACCACAAGGTTCAGTCTCTTTTTCCTCCCAGCTGTCCTTTAAAAGTTGGGTGAATTTTTTTTTTTGAGACAGGATCTCACTCTGTTGCCCAGGCTGGAGTGCAGTGGTACAATCGTAGCTCACTGTAGCCTCCAATTCCTGGGCTCAAGTAATCCTCCCACTTTAGCCTCCGAAGTAGCTGGATCTACGGGTGCACACCACCATGCCCAGCTAATTAAAAAAAATTTTTTTCTAGAGGTGGGGTCTCACTATGTTGCCTAGGTTGGTCTCAAATTCCTGGGCTCAAGTGATCCTCCTGCCTTAGCCTGCAGAGTAGCTGGCACTATAGACATGCACCACTACATTCAATGAAGTTGGGTGGATTTGAGTATCACCGACCATCCAGTCAGGTCCTGATCTTTTGCTCTGTAATGATTGGCTCAGACTGGGGGCATTGCCTGGGCACAGGAAGGATATAGTCAGAGAGAAAAAACTCTTACGGTGTTGGAGATGTTTCCCAAGTGAAGTGGAGAACATTTCTGAGAAATAGTCTGAGAAGGAAGAGATCCAGGGACTTCAAAGGGAAGAACATTCACCTTCAGCCCCTTATACTGCAATTTCATTAAAAAATTGCCCGACTCCTCACTAAACAAAATTTCCCAGACCTGGACTTAGGAGATAGAAAGGAGAAGCTGGTAAGGCAAAGGTTAGACTGTCCAAGGCATTGTATCACCAGCTCCATTGTTGTCTGGTTGCAAGAAACAGAAACTGACTGAGCCGACCTAAGCAAAACTGGAATGTATTGGAAGGGTGGCAGAGCTCACAGAAAGGCCAACCCTCATAAAGGAGCCAAGGCGGCTGAAGATGTGGGGATGCTTGGCTGTTTTCAGCCTTTGGGTATCCAACTTTACACTCACCGCCTAAGGAGAGATTGGCCCAGGATGAGTCATGTGATTGGCGGTGCCTCCAAGGCTGCAAGTAATGGATGTGGCAGCGCTCGCCAGAGCAAAACTGGAGAGAAGTTATCAGACAAAGGGTATGCTGGACAAACAATAACAATAGAATATCTACCAATTACAACCAATCTCTCTCTCTCGCTGAAATCTTCATATTTGTCTAAAAAGTTAGTATCAGGCAAAGACAGCTTTCTTTCCATTGATCCTAAGCTCATCCAACAGAAATGAAACCATCATTCCTTCATCATGGATAAGCCTCTTTTCCTTCTCAGTCTCCCGTCAACACCCAAGACCCCATTCCAACTGCCGGTGTTCAGTGTGTGTCCTGGAGACATACGCAGCACCCAGGTCTCGCTGCCAGGGAGGAAAAGCACGTGGAATTGTGTGTACAGTTGCCCCTTTCTTAGGAGCTTCCTTGGATGCAAATAGATGATTCTACAGAGGACCAGGGCAGGGCCCAGGGACAGCAGCTGAACCTTATTTAAAAACGACAGTGAGATGTCTGTATTTGTTTGGGAGTGTGATGTGCCGGGGCAGGGGGCACTGCGGTGAGGTGTGTGCTATTCTGATGGGGCCTGGGAGTGGAACAGACCAGGCCATTGGTGCCTCACGTGCTACAAGCCTAGGAGCATGAACTTGCCTAGCCTCAGGCAGCGCCTAGTGCTGGAGGAGCCAACTCGAAGTGCGTCCTGGGAGAGCAACCTCTTCGTAAGAGCAGCCGTAGGGGGCATGCGGAAAGTCATCAGGGTAACCAGCCTTAATAAAGGTAGAAGATGAGATTGGAGAGGGGTAGGTTGGAGCAGGGGGGAGTCAGAGGGAAGGAAATGATTGTAGGAGAAACAGATGCAATTGAGCAAGACTCCTGGAGATGGATTTCCCTGCCTTGGTCCAAACTCAAATCCCTGTGCTCAGATTAATTAGCAAGGAAATATTTTCCTGTCTGCAGAACAAGGCTGCTGGATTGCCAGTGGGACAGGAGGGTGGGCAGTCTATCAAATAACTACTAATTAGGTTACTTCCCACTGCTGTTGACATGCTGGGGACATGTTCCTGGGCCAAAATAAAAGGGGGAGGAGGGGA